>NC_000006.12:12938787-13090303 GCF_000001405.40 Homo sapiens | reverse complement strand
GAGGCCGAGGCAGGTGGATCATCTGAGGTCAGGAGTTCGAGACAACATGGTGAAACCCTGTCTCTACTAAAAATACAAAACATTAGCCGGGCATGGTGGCATGCACCTGTAATCCCAGTTACTCAGGAGGCTGAGGCAGGAGAACTGCTTGAACACAGGAGGCGGAGGTTGCAGTGAGCCGAGATCGCGCCATTACACTCCAGCCTAGGCAACAAGAGCGAAACTCCGTCTCAAAAACAACAACAACAACAAAAAAACCCAAAACAATGCAGTGCTGTTGTTCCCTTCTATTATACTACTTAGCTTCTGGCATTTCGGCTTACCTGATAGCCTGCTGTTGTCCACTTCTGATTCTAAATGACATTCCCTATTCATTTCAGGAAATTTATTATGTCACAAGGAGGACAAATCCAAGTGATGCAGATGCTACAGGGCATGTGGCTGCATTTTCCTCTGGCCTCCTCTCACCAGTTTGTTCCACTGTGGTTACCGTTTGTCAGTTTTATTCACTAGCAACAAAATTGGCAACATAAATGTGTCAGCCCATTCAGGAACTCCAGTGATAGGTGCTGTGAATATACAGCTAGTAGGACGCGAACCAGAAGCATCATCCGGACTCCAGAAATCTGGTTTTCTATTAATTGTCTAACGCTGACCCTGTCACATGACCATTAGTAAATGAGTTCATTATTTTTTGGCCTTGGTTTCCCCACTTAATGAACACTTTGGATGAGGCAATTTCTAAAGTCTCTTCAAGTTCTCAAATGCTGCAATTCTACCCAAAAAATGATGATAGCATATTGAGTCAGAATCCTTCAGGAAACAAGCTGACGTATTCCTGGCTGCACACTGAGACCCAAGAAAGCCTGCCCTGAGCCAGGCACCTAAGAAGACCTCTCCCCAGATCTGCCCTTCTATACAAAGTGAGATGTCTGGGCCAATGGAGTGCACCCCCCTAGAGCCTGCACCCTCTCAGAAATCCCACTCTGTGTACTGAGGACCCCTGGGTTCTCTGCCCAGATGGCCAAGAGCTTCCAGGGGATGGAGCTTGAGCAGATGTACTGGTAAGTGTCCCCACCTGTGCCCCAGGGGCTTCTTGTGGTGGAGGGATGGGCCCAGGGCAGGAAGAGACGGGGGCAAACCAAGAGCTAAGGGGGAGGGGACTGTGTTTGTAATCTTGTTCAGTTTGTCCTCTTGTTAGTGGAGGACCTGTAGAAGGTCCCTGTCTGATTGCACAGTGACAGAGAAGGTAAAGGAGACAGAGGAGATGAAGCAGCCCCTTCCTATCACCTCTTGGCAAATCTAAAATAAATTGCTCTGTTTTCTGGATGTTTGAAGTTTTGTATAATCCATTTCTAAATATAACTGGCACCCTCTTTTTGCAAGACTGTCTATTAGGCTCAAAAGATACAAAGCTGAACAGCAGATTGCCTGTAATCTTGAGAGCCCAGGAGGAAATATTTCCATGTGCATTGCATTGTATCCCTGTTTTCCTGCAGACAAGGGTCATTTAAATGTCAAAGCTGACCTTAGAAGGGCTCTTCAAGGTGACTATGGGGACAAGTTTGTGACATCCAAAAGGCTGAGAATCAAAGGTGAGCAAAAATAAGGAGAAAGGAACATCTTATACAGAAACTAGGGTCAAAACAAAGCCTATCCAAGCTGTGTTTAGGGGGCTCTGGAGAGCAGCTGTTGGGAGCAAATTTTCCAGATCTAAAAAAGAAAACCTGCTAAATAGATGCTGGCCAAAAGAAAATGCCTGAAATATAGTCATTACTCAAAAAAAGTTTGGGAATATAATTAAATGGATCAATAAACACTCGGAGTACAGAACCACCTAGGTAGATATTTGAAGTTAGAAAGCATAGGGAGAATCAAATTTCTCCCAGGTGGCAAGATAAAGAGCCAGGTCCAGGGTGAAATGGAGAATCAGCTACAGAAACCAGAAGCACAGCTCTGAGTACTGAGGGTTTTTTTTTTGCGGGGGGTAGTGGGGCGTGGTGGGGGGAAATAGAACTGTCAAGAATAGAATCTTTTAAAAAATATTATGTTTTATTATTACTTGTAGCTGTTATATATGAATTCAATTGTTTTTAAAATCTATTATATTTTATTCACAGCAAACTTGCTAAGTCCTACATATTAGTTCTAAGTTTGTTTAGATTCTCTTGCACTCTCTGTGCGGGAATTGTGTCTTATTTTTCTGGGTTGGACCTCAAGAACTATGTTAAATAGAGGGGGTAAGGATGAACACTCTTCTCTCTTACCTGTCATCAAAGAGAAGGTTTCTAGTGTTTCGCCCTTCAATATGGTGATTTTTGTAGGGACACATTACCAGGTTAAAGATGTGTGCTTTTGGCTGGGTGTAGTGGCTCATGCCTGTAATCCTAGCACCTTGGGAGGCCAAGGTGGGAGGACTGCTTGAGCCCAGGACTTCGAGATTAGCCCGGGCAGCACGGTGAAATCCCATCTCTACAAAAAATACAAAATATTAGCCAGGCGTGGTGGCATGCACCTATAGTCCCAGCTACTAGGGAGGCTCAGGTGGGAGGATCACCTGAGCCCAGGAGGTCAAAGCTGCAGTGAGCTGTGATCACACCACTGCACACCACCTGTGCAACAGTGGGAAACCCTGTTTCAAAAAAAAAAAAGAAAGCCTGCTTTTATTTGTAATTTCCTAATATTGTTTCTTTCTTTAAATCATGAATATTAGATATCCTCAGTGCTTTTTCTTCTTTTGAGATAATTATATGATTTTCTTAATATGGTCAGGCAGTAAGTTATATTAATAAATTGTCTGATGTTAACCTATCATTGGATGCAAAAAACTCACTTGAACATGAATTTAGTTTGATAATATTTCATCTATGTTGCAAGTAAAATTGCTCTACAAATTTTCCTTTCTCATACTATGTGCTTTGGTATCATGGTTATACAATAAAATGATTAAGGAGCTTTATTTCATTTTCTAGAAAAATTTGTAGTTTTTCCTCGATGGTTTGGTAGAATGGTTAAATCATCACCACCTAAGGCTTCATTTTTTAAAAAGAAGGATGATTTTAAGCTACTGTATGTAATTTTTACCCAGAATATATATATATTAGATATCTAAAATATATTCATATATTTTATACATATGTTATATATAAAAATATATATGTTATATATATAACATATATATATAAAACAGTCTGAAAACTCAATAAGAAAATGAACAGTTCAGTTTAAAAAATGGTCAAAATACTTAAACAAAGATATAAAAATGGCAAATAAGAACATGAAAAGATGCTCATTAGTCATTATGAAAATGCAAATTTGAATTACAGTGAGACTCATACCTATAAGAATGGCTAAAATAAATGAATGGATAATACCAAGTGTTGACAAGAATACAGAGCCACTGAAACTCTATCACCTTGTTGATGGGAATGCAAAGTGGTACAAACACAGCATGACAATTTCTTATAAAGTTAAACATACCCTTACCACATAACCCAGAAATCTTACTCTTAGTTATTTACCTAGGTGAAATAAAAACATGTATGTACATAATAGCCTAAACCTAGAAACAACCCAAAAGTCTTTCAACTGGTCAAATGGGTAAACTATGGGATATCCATGTAATGAAATACTACTCAGCAACAAAAAGGAATAAACGACAGATACACACCATAACACAGATGAATCTGAAATGCATTCTCAAAATGCTACGTGCTACATAATTCCATTCTTACCACATTCTGGAAAGCACAAAATCATATTGGCAGAAAAAAAAGCACTGGTTACTGGGGCCTAGGGGTGAAGAAAAGTTGTCTACAAAGGGGAATGAAGGAATTTTTTAGGGCAACAAAACTGTTCTGTATCTTGATTGTGGAGGGGGTTACATGTCTGTATATATCTGCCAAACTCCTAAAACTGTACATGAAAACGGGTTAATTTTGCTGAGTGTAAATTACATCTCAATAAAAAATGTTTTAAAAGAAAATAAAGATTTTTAAACTACTGATTTAATTGCACACTGGCTAGAGTTTAGTTGCCTTTTCTATTTCTACTAGTATGCATTTAGGCAATTTATATTATGTTATAGAAACTCTTTTTAACCTAGGTTTTCAAATTTTGGCATAAAGTTGTTCTCAGTTTTTCCTTTTGATTAAAAACTCTGAGTTCTATCTGTAGCTATGTACTTTTCCTTTTAGCTTTTTTTTTTTTTTTTTTTTTTTAGAAATGTGTATCTTCTTTATTTTTAGGCAATTACTTTGCCTAGATTTTTACTCAATTTAGAAATATTTTCAAATAACTGTTTTTAGGCTTTATGGATCTTATTTTTTAAATTGTTTTTGATTCATTAATTTTGGCTCTTTTCAATCTTTCTTCTTTTCTAAGGTATACATTTAAGGTGATAAATTTACCTCTACATACTGCTTTATGCTATATCTCACATGTGTTTGACACATAATATATTTATTCTCAGTCAGTTCTAAGTATTCGTTTAATGCTGAATGTATAATTTATTCTTTAATCCATAAAACATTTTAATGTTCATTTTTAAATTTCCAAATCTATGATAGGTTTTGGCTGTCTTACAGCTTGTTAATCATGCATTTTAGCTTTCTATATCCTCACTTCTTTTTGTCTGCCTGATCTGCCAGTTCTTGAGAGGTATAAGTTGATAGATTTGTTCATTTATCCTTGTATTCTGCCAACTTATGCTGTATATATTTTAAGACTATAAAGTTAGATACATACATATTTTGAATTGTTGCATCTTCCATTAGGAAGTTTATTAAACTCTTCCTTTTATCAACTTTATAGCTGCTTTTTGCCTGAAAATATATTTGATTAATATTTGCATAAATTAGCATTCTTCTAAAAAATATTAGTCTATCCTTTTATGACCTTCTAAACTTTTCTATCCTTATGTTTAAAGTATGTTTTATAAACAGGAGATATTTGAATTTTGTTGTATACTTTTTTTATGGTTAATTTTGAATAACATTTTAATAACACAGTATTATTTTCAAAAAGATTTAGTAGTGGAGTTTAGTGAGAACTCTTCATGTAAGAGTTAAAGTATAAATTATTATGGAATGAGAGATTATAACGGGATTTCCAAATTTAAATTTAGGTTTAGATCTCCACTAAATGGAGTTAAACTTTATCAAATAATGTCATTAAATGGTCATGTTTAGTGATATGGAAAAAATGTTTGCAATAATAATAATTTGTTGTATACTTTTTAACATCCATCTTTTAATTGGTATATATTGAATACTTACATGTATTGTAATTGCGGACATATTTGGATTTATTAATATTTCTCCCCCTTTATTCTACGCTAATTGCCATAATTTTCTTAGCGTTTTCATTACTTTCTATTAGAATGATAAAGTTTTCTTTATCCTGTTCCCTCTTCACTGGTTTAAGTTACATGCTCTACTTCTATTCTTTTAGTAGTTAGCCTTAAATGTTTAATATGCTTACTTGACTCAGAAAGTTCAAAATGAATCCCTATCACCACCTTCCTCCAGAATAATATAGTGAGCTTAGAATGTCATTATTCACGCCACCCCCTCTTCTTATACATTGTTATGTAGGATACTGGCTCTTCCTTTAAAAATTGCTCATAATAATTATTTTTAATATTTTTAAATAAGGGGCACTTATTTACATTGATAAAAGAATGTTGCCAATTTATTTGCTCATTATTGCTTCCTCCATTCAAGTCCTTTATTATGTGTTCATTTTTCTTTTTTTTTAATTTGTATTAATTCTTTTTTTTAATTATACTTTAAGTTTTAGGGTACATGTGTACAACGTGCAGGTTTGTTACATAGGTATACATGTGCCAGGTTGGTATGCTGCACCCATTAACTGGTCATTTAGCATTAGGGATATCTCCTAATGCTATCCCTCCCCCCTCCCCCCACCCCACAACAGTCCCCGGTGTGTGATGTTCCCCTTCCTGTGTCCATGTGTTCTCATTGTTCAATTCCCACCTATGAGTGAGAACATGCGGTGTTGGTTTTTTGTCCTTGCGATAGTTTGCTGAGAATGATGGTTTCCAGCTTCATCCATGCCCCTACAAAGGACATGAACTCATCATTTTTTATGGCTGCATAGTATTCCATGGTATATATGTGCCACATTTTCTTAATCCAGTCTGTCATTGTTGGACATTTGGGTCAGTTCCAAGTCTTTGCTATTGTGAATAGTGCCGCAATAAACATACACGTGCATGTGTCTTTATAGCAGCATGATTTATAATCCTTTGGGTATATACCCAGTAATGGGATGGCTGTGTCTAATGGGATGGCTGGGTCACATGGTATTTCTAGTTCTGGCCAGGGCAATCAGGCAGGAGAAGGGAACAAAGGGCATTCAATTAGGAAAAGAGGAAGTCAAATTGTCCCTGTTTGCAGATGACATGATTGTATATTTAGAAAACCCCATCATCTCAGCCCAAAATCTCCTTAAGCTGATAAGCAACTTCAGCAAAGTCTCAGGATACAAAATCAATGTACAAAAATCACAAGCATTCTTATACACCAATAACAGACAAACAGAGAGCCAAATCATGAGTGAACTCCCATTCACAATTGCTTCAAAGAGAATAAAACACCCAGGAATCCAACTTACAAGGGATGTAAAGGACCTCTTCAAGGAGAACTACAAATCACTGCTCAATGAAATAAAAGAGGATACAAACAAATGGAAGAACATTCCATGCTCATGGGTAGGAAGAATCAATATCGTGAAAATGGCCATACTGCCCAAGGTAATTTATAGATTCAATGCCATCCCCATCAAGCTACCAATGACTTTCTTCACAGAATTGGAAAAAACTACTTTAAAGTTCATATGGAACCAAAAAAGAGCCCGCATTGCCAAGTCAATCCTAAGCCAAAAGAACAAAGCTGGAAACATCACGCTACCTGACTTCAAGCTATACTACAAGGCTACAGTAACCAAAACAGCATGGTACTGGTACCAAAACAGAGATATAGACCAATGGAACAGAACAGAGCCCTCAGAAATAATGCCGCATATCTACAACTATCTGATCTTTGACAAACCTGACAAAAAGAAGAAATGGGGAAAGGATTCCCTATTTAATAAATGGTGCTGGGAAAACTGGCTAGTCATATGTAGAAAGCTGAAACTGGATCCCTTCCTTACACCTTATACAAAAATTAATTCAAGATGGATTAAAGACTTACACGTTAGACCTAAAACCATAAAAACCCTAGAAGAAAACCTAGGCAATACCATTCAGGACATAGACATGGGCAAGGACTTCATGTCTAAAACTCCAAAAGCAATGGCAACAAAAGCCAAAATTGACAAATGAGATCTAATTAAACTAAAGAGCTTCTGCACAGCAAAAGAAACCACCATCAGAGTGAACAGGCAACCTACAGAATGGGAGAAAATTTTTGCAACCTACTCATCTGACAAAGGGCTAATATCCAGAATCTACAATGAACTCAAAGAAATTTACAAGAAAAAAACAACCCCATCAAAAAGTGGGTGAAGGATATGAACAGACACTTCTCAAAAGAAGACATTTATGCAGCCAAAAAGCACATGAAAAAATGCTCATCATCACTGGCCATCAGAGAAATGCAAATCAAAACCACAATGAGATACCATCTCACACCAGTTAGAATGGCGATCATTAATAAGTCAGGAAACAACAGGTGCTGGAGAAGTTGTGGAGAAATAGGGACACTTTTACACTGTTGGTGGGACTGTAAACTAGTTCAACCATTGTGGAAGTCAGTGTGGCTATTCCTCAGGGATCTAGAACTAGAAATACCATTTTTCTTCTTCCTGAACTGTTTCTTCCACATTTCTTTTGGGGACTATCTCTTCATGGTCAGCTGTTTCAGATTCCTATGGCTAACACATCTTTATTTTACCTGAATGCTGGTTTACCTAGGCACAAAACTGTTGGCTAATGGTATTTGCCTTCAGCACACTGAAGATATAATAATATTTATGGCCAGCCATCTCCAGTGTGTTGACTTTAAGCAAAGTGATACCCATTGGAGCCATTGGTGACTCAGTGGAGGAGAAGGAAACATACAGAGACCAGCATACACTCCTAACGGTGGAAGGAAAAAGGATGAAGGCATCGCGATGAGTGGAAGTAGGAGGCAGAATAACATGGAGTGTATGAGAGAGGGGGGCCATCAGTGAAATGCTCAAAGTCTGCACCTAGACCAAATGATCCCACCTAGGCCCCTAATTGTTCTTTCCTTTAAGTATTAACATCTGTTCTTGCTCATAAGAAAGTGTGGCCAGATTGATCTTACCTGCAATTCTTTGTGAATTGTTAACCTAGGAAAGAAACAGCAATGATGAAAGAGACACCACTTGTTCTAGTATTCCTAAATTCTCGTAAATGAAGTCTATTGCTGTAGCATTTAAACAGGACAAACCACGCTTCCCTTTGACTTCTTGTTTTTATTGTTTTAGAGACAGGGTCTTACTCCATCGCCTAGGCTGAAGTGCAGTGGTACAATCATAGCCTACTGCAGTCTCAAACTCCCAGGCTGAAGTGATCCTCCTGCTTCAGCTTCCCAAGTGGCTGGGATTACAGGTGCACATCTGCACACCTGGCTAATTAATTAATTTTTTTTTGTTAGAGATGGGGGTCTTACTATGTTGCCCAGGCTAGTCTCGAACTTCTAGCCTAAAGTGATCCTCCTGCTTTGGCCTCCCAAAGAGCTGGGATTACAGGCATGACCCCAGCCTGGCTGCTTCTTTAAGTACACTTTTGATAACATCATACAGTGCTTTCAAATAGTTGTAACCAGGAGCAGTGATTCGGAAGGGCATTGTGCAAAGAGATATTTTGCTAACAGAACAGATACATGTTGCGTCTATCATTTCTGCTGCTACTATATTTATATGCAACTGAAAACATAAAATTTGACCTGTTTCTCTTAAATTCGTTGTTTTAAAATCCAAGAATATTAGGGTTGTCAGGAGCCTCAGAGGCCATCTATTCTAAACCCACCACTTCACGCATGAGGAAACTGCTGTAGGGGAGTTCATCTTCTAGTAGAACCCAGTTCAGAAAGTACAATGGAGTTATGCCAAGAACTTCAAATACTGGCAGAGCCCTGCTCAAAGCAATTACTACTATAACCCACTGTTTTATTTTTCAACTTTTGGGGTACATGAAAAGACTGACACTTTTAGGGTTTTTATGCTCGGTGTTTTAAATACTGCACTCTGGACTACTCTCTATTCTTATGAAGAAAATAATCCATTGGTTATTCAACATGTTCTGATTTAATGTTGATGTAACAAATTGTACTCCAAGTGCTTGCTGTATTTTTCCAAAAATATTCTCCTTTTTAGCTTAGCCTGAAAATTCCTCTGGTTTTCTATTAGTCATGGAAGCAAGCCATTAAAAACTTTTTTTTTCTTTTACGAAAAGTTCTTTCGTAGGATGACATAAAATTTAGGTGGAGAAAGCTCTATCATTACTGTAGTACTTAATTCCTAACACATATTTATTGTCATTTCTACCAGGTTTTCTTTTTATATTTTCCTTCTTGTGATATCATTCATTATCCTCAAGGACAATGTAAGGGAATTTATTTGTCACAGACAGCATTCCTGGCTGCTGATCAAATGAGTTCATTCCCAAGATAATTACTTCTAGACAGCAAATACAGGCCACAGAAGGTGACAAAACCCGGCTTTTATCCTATTTTGTTCACTGGTTATTTGAATTATTAGTTCTTGGAAGACCATCTATACCTTCAGAAGGTTATTTCATTTTAGAAGACTTTGCCGAAGCAAATCACATGCACCATTGGTTTAGTTGGTTAATGAACTAATCAATGAAAAGTCTTATCCATTTTGACCCTTACACACCCCAGTTCCAATTAAACCAGCTGGGTAAAAACTTCAATAGGGTTAATTTTGCCAGCTGAATAAGTTCATGCTCAACAAGACTCTAGGCTTATTACAGAGCTCTCTGGATAGACACGTCCTACAAAATTCTAAACTCCAGCACTTGAAATAACTTTTTTAAAGGCTCCTAAAGAAATGCATTCAAATCTTCTAAGTCAGGATAGTTGTGCTGGGTGGGGGTCAGGGGTCAGGTGGAAAGGAGGGGCAGTGAAGTTCAGAGACATCCAATGTCACAACATTGGATGACAGGGTTGCCCTAAGTGGAAGACACATGTCCTATGTGGCATGTTTCTTATACAAAACTGGGTATGGGTGAATTTTTGAGCCTTCCAACACAGAAATCCTGTTAATGGCTAGAGAAACAGACATCAAGGGAGACTGGTTACACGCCGTTTCTCTGTATTTGTAGAAGAGAATGCTCGGTGGCTGTCAAAACGAGAGGAAGGTTAGATGTTATAAAATCTTGGGAGGTGGTCTAGCCTAGGACACATATTTTGAAGATGAAGTGAGAAGTTTCGAAGAGGTGAACTCACTTGTTCAAGGTCATATGGCTAGTTATAGCCAGAGTGGTGATCTTGCTGGTATATCACACTGCTACTTTTAATTTAACATCCAATTAAAAAAGAATGAACAAATCACTGCACACCCTGAGATTGGTACATAATGCAACCTTCTCAGGGTCTCATGGGAACCCCATAATTAGATTGCAAGCAGGTACTGGGCATTTTACTTGTCAAAATCCCTTGAGGTATGTTTCTGAAACTTACTGCTGGATGCAGCAGTGGCTTGCCAAGCATTCTTTGGCCAGCAATCCCAGTGCCGTCTATCTGCGTGTCTCCTGTAGCGAGAGGAGTGAAAAATTAATGAGAAGCTCAGAAAAGCTCATTTTCAAGGCTATAGAGATTGGGAGGGCAATGAAAACTGGAAGGGAAGGGAAAGGTTTTAAGCTATCAGCCTCAAGCTCTGACAAATCACATAAATGGAGTGTAAATGTAAATATGCCCACATGGAAATGGAATGTCACCTAAGAGCTATTTAGGGAAGGGCTGGATCTGAATTATAAACACCCAGGGCAGAGCTCCTTGTGATTCACTCATGGGTATCTGTCCATCTCTGCGATGCCCAAACCTCCAGCCATCGCATGTAAGCAGTAAGGCCTGTGTCTCCATGAGTTGGCATTGCCTCTTCATGAGGAAGAGCCGTGATCATGATTCAAATGTGTTTTTCTCTGATCCTGCTTGGGCACAACAGCCTATATGCCTTATGAGGATGAAGGTGGATCTGGAAAAATCAAATATCTTAAAAAAATTTGCTCTTGGAAAACTTTTTTTCTTTTCAACAAGGTGATAAAATTCATTTTCCAAGAAGAAAAAAAATTAAGTTTGGGTTAAAGACTGTAAACTATTTTATTGACAAAGCTAGACCCCCCCAAACAGCAAAATGGGCACAGATCTATTCCTAATAGGAACTGAATGTGGTGGGACTTTATTTGCAACTGAATGCCCTGGTTACCCACAGCTCAGGTTTTTGCCTTTACTTGTTCTTTCTCTTAAGCAGTTCTCTAGCCACTGGGCATGTGCTCCTGGCTATACAACTATTCTGGAATATGATCTCTGGGGGAAGGATTACTATTACTCAGAAGAACTCTTGAGCTGGGAAACCAGGAGGATGCTAATCACAGGAACAACTCTTTTGCTGATTAAATGTATCTGCCAGTCTGGTAATGAGCTGCTGATAGACCACAGCTCTGGATAATATTTTTAAGATAATAATGAACTGCTCGCAAACCTCCAGAAAATGCCTAAGGAAACTAGAAACCTGGCTATCTTTTGAGAGCAATAGTCTGTCATCTCATTCACTGCTGTTATGGTTAGAACTACATTCCTCCAAAATTCACATGTTGATGTCTTAATCCCTAGTGTTTAGAATGCAGCCTTATTTGGAACAGGGTTGTTGAAGATATCACCCATTGGATTAAGATAAGGTCATGTTGGAATAGTATAAGTCCCTAATCCAATATGACTGGTGTCTTTACAAAAAAGGGAAATTTGGAGACAGACAGGCACACAGGGAGAATGCCATGTGAAGCCGAAGGCAGAGGTCAGGGTGATGCTTCTACAAGCCAAGGAATGACCAAGATGGTGAGCAAACCACCAGAAGCTAGGGGAGATACATGGAACAGATTCTTCCTCACAGCCCCCACCCACTCCCCCCAAAAAAAACAGCTCTAGGGAACTGATACAGCTGCCCCATAGGGTTAAGAGTGTTCCTGTCCTTTCTGAGACATGATAGAATCCAGCCTTGGCGTCCTACACTCCCAGTAGATGACCTCTCCTTCATTGTGTGATGGGGGACCCCTGGATCCTCTTTGGCCATGAGTGTTCCTTGTCATAAGCAGATTCCCCTTCTTTTCTCATCTTAATTCAACTCTTATCCATGGCTGTTAAAGCACCCAGTCACCCAGGGTCAGAACCTCTAGGCTATCTTTGATTTCTCCTTCTCCCTCACCCCGATATTTTGTCTCGCAAGTCTTGTTATTTCTCCTCCTCTGTGCCTCTATTTCTTGGCTTCCTTTCATTCTGGATGCCACCACCTCATGCTGGCTCCAATGTCTCTTGCCTAGACTGCTACGATAGCCCCCTAACTAGCCTCCCTGGCCAGGCTCCCCCTGTTCCTGTTGGTTGTATCTCTAACTGCCAGTCAGTCACCCAAAGGCCAGCTGTGATCATGTCACCTCCTTGCTCAAAAGCCTCCAGTGGAATGAAAGCCCAACTCTGTAGCTGTTACTGCTTTCCATGTCTAAACCCAACTTATATCTCCCAGCAGTTGCCTGTTATAACCCCTGATCCAACTGAATCAAACTTCCAAAACACACTTCTGATCTGTGCCTTTGTTTATTCCACTGGCTGTGTCTGAATATCCTCTCCCCTAATTCTGCTGTTCAAAATCCTGGCCATTCTGCAAGGACTGTAGCTGTGGTGGTGCCACGGTTAGGTGTGCAGGCCCTGGAGTACAATGAACCAGATCAACTCACTGAGATATGAGCTTGGCAAGTTATCAAACTTCCCTGTGTTTCAGTTTCCACAAATGCAAGATGGGAGTACATAATACCTCATTGGGCTAGAGGGAGAATTAAACAAGTGAATGCATAAACCACACTTAGACACATAAGCATGCAATCACTTTTTTTTTTTTTTTTGCTTGCATCATTTCATCTTTTAATGTTCCTGAAGCCTCCTAAGCCAACTTCAGTGTTTTTTTTTGTACTTTATTTTTTTTTTTATTATACTTTAAGTTTTAGGGTACATGTGCACATTGTGCAGGTTAGTTACATATGTATACATGTGCCATGCTGGTGCGCTGCACCCACTAACTCGTCATCTAGCATTAGGATCTCCCAATGCTATCCCTCCCCCCTCCCCCCACCCCACCGCAGTCCCCAGAGTGTGATATCACTTTCAACTACCATTGTTGAAAGCAATGACCCTCTGCCCTGACCTCTCAGAGCGTTCCAACTAATCTGCTCTTTTGGCACTTAAGTTCCTTCTATCATTCCTTTTGGACATGCTTCTCCTTAACGCTATGACTTTGCAGCATTTCTTCCTGCATCTGGAATGTCCCTTCTCTCTTTCCAACCTTGAACACCAGCTTCAAAAGCCCCAGGGAACCTCACTCTGTCTTGTTTGCTTCTCAGAGCTCTGTTGCCATCTCCACTCCAGCTCCAACTGGGCCACACTCAAGTCTCTCAGAGGAAGGAATTGCATTTTTTCATCTTTGTAACCAAGGGCCTAATTCTGGGTTTAGCACTTAGTATGTACAAAATGAATGCTTGCAAAACATGCAGAAGACCAAATGTTGGTGTGAATACCCCAATGAACGTAACTCTATCACATTTTTCTCTATGCAGCCACCAGAGCCAGTGTTGCTAGGTGTTCCGTGTTTGTTGCATGCATGCATGAACAGGTGAAGGGCTGAAATAACCCAAGGCATTCGTATTTCCCAGTGGAGACTGAGGCCATTTCCCTGGGAAATAATTATCAATTGGGACTAAATTAAGACAATTAAAGGATTACTTACTTTGTGCTTCCAGAGCACTTTTTATATGCTTCATAATCACTTATCTTGCAGCCCTGTAATTATTGGCTGCCAGTTCTATTTCTTCCATTAGTGTGTGCTCAGTGTGGGTGACTGTGTCTTATTTAGCTCTCTATTTTTTGTACCTGGCATTAAGGAGATCTTAGGTAAGTGTTTGTCGAACAAAGGAATTTGCTCAGAAAACTGAGCCAAACAATGGGGCACAATGAGCCATTAAGTAACATCAGCCAACCAGAAAAAAAAAAAAAAAAGATGCTCCCTTGCATTGTTTTTTTCAAATAATTCATTGCTAAGAAGGTATTTCTGATCAAATCCTATTGTCATTTCCATGACATAACTGAAAAGAGAAAAATTCTTAGCTGTATTAATCTAGTTATCCTGGACTTGGATCTAGCTTGACTTACAGTATTTTGTTTTCCAAGCTTGCTGCAGGGAGTCGGAGGGCAGAAAGATCATTTGGCATATGACCTTGAGCTATAAAGCATTCTGTTAAGGGGTATTCAGGGAGCTCAGGCTGGGAGTCTAGAAGACTTGAACATAGCCTGGCCAAATGCTGGACATTCAGCATGCCTGGAAGGGATAAATCCTCTGTGTATTTCCCTTTCAGAAAGCAAAACTAGGACTGAGAAAGAAGGACGGCCGCAAGGGGCACCTGTGGCCTTTATGTATTGGACTCGTTGTCTTCAGATGAAAGCTGAGCAAATTCTGCATGGAGAAAAGAGGCACTTCTTGGAGCAGGTGCCAGAACCAATTTTAACCCCTTACTAAATACAACTACTCACTGACTGAACTAAAAGAACCTCAAGTCAGTAACAAGCAACAGTACCAGGGTCATTACAAAGACCTTACTCAAGGGATCAGCTTCTTGTTTCGATGGTGGCAAATCAAAATCATTGAGGGAAGCTATAGTGGGCTGGGGTGCCAGGCTACTAGAGTTCAAATCCTGGATTTGTTCTTTAAGAGCCACGCGACCTTGGGGCAAGTTGCTTAACCTCTCTGTCTCAGTTCCTTCTTCCACAAAATGAGACTATATGAATAGTTCTTATCTCATATGGGTTTGTGATAATAGGAGTTAATATATGTGATGAACTTGGAAGAGTGAATGACACATAAGTAATATATATGTTGATAAACCAAGATTAAATTAGGCAAAGGTGATGTGTGGCTAATAGTTGGTGAAAATGTCTTTTGTAATTACTTTTTATAAAAGCAACGCATACATATGACAATGATTCAAATAATTCCAATCTCAATACCCAATTCTATTTCCCAATGATCACCACACTCAAATGTTTCTTTCATGTTTTTGCAGAAAAAATTATTCAGAAATCAACAGGTGGATATATACAGTCTATCCCTTCAAATGAATAGGATCATAATATTCATACTGTTCTCCACCTCATCTTGCTTTTTCCCATTAACTGTGTATCTTAAAGTCCTCTCCGTATCTGAAGATAGACGTCTTCTTCATACTTTTCTATGACTTACTGGTACTCCACTGTGTAGAAAGATCATGATTTGTATAACCAGCCCCCATTGATGGCATTTACCTTGTTTCCAGCTTTTTTGTGTGTGATTATAAACATTCTGTAACAAACAACCTTGTACATCCTTCTTATTATATTTCTGCAAGTATATATATGTAGGTTAAATTCCTGGCAATTTGCCATTTCTTCTGGGCATGGCCTTCCTCAAATCTGAAACTTTGCAGCCTCTCTTTTTCCTGCATGTGGAATGCTCTTCCTGTCTTACTATCCTTTGCCAGGTTGATGAATTACAAGGTCAAGGGTAAGTGCATCTAAAATTTTGATTATTTTTGCCACATTGTATTCCAAAAATCTTGCACTGACTCCTCTTTCCACCAGTGCTGTATGGGTAGCTGTTTCCCAGTCTACTTTAACACCAGCTGACAGAGTGTCGTTATCGATTTCTTATCTTTGCCAAAGTCATAAGTGACAAATGGTATCTCAGTAGTTTCAATTTGTATATCCTTAATTATAATATGAGTGAGGGTAAGATCTTTTTTATGTTTATGGGAATTTGCATTTTTCTTTGACTTGCTGGTTCATATCCTTTGCCCAGACAATTTGTCTTGAATTGAAAATATGGGCTAGGTGCAGTGGCTCACGCCTGTAATCCCAGCACTTTGGAAGGCCAAGGCGGGTGGATCATGAGATCAGGAGTTTGAGACCAGCCTGACCAACATGGTGAAACCTTGTCTCTACCAAAAATACAAAAATTAGCCAGGCATGGTGGCATACGCCTGTAATCCCAGCTACTCGGGAGGCTGAGGCAGGAGAATCACTTGAACCTGGGAGGCTGAGGTTGCAGTGAGCCGAGATTGCACCACTTCACTCTAGCCTGGGTGACACGGCAAGACTCCATCTCAGAAAAAAAAAAAAAAGAAAAAGAAAATATGAACTCTACTACTTCCCTGCTTAAAGCCTTTCACAGTGACCTACTGCCTATGGGATAGTCTGGAATCCCTAATATGAAAAAAAGGGGCTTGTGTGTCATCTGGTCCCATCTATGTCACTTCTCTCAATGGTTTATTCCTCTTGTCTCAAGCTTGCTGGCACAGAAACACCTGGCCACTTGTGGTCCCAGATCTCTTTGTCAATAAAAATTCATAGAATGGGTCAGGCGTGGTGGCTCATGCCAGTAATCCCAGAACTTCGGGAGGCTGAAGCGGGCAGATCACAAGGTCAGGAGTTCGAGATCAGCCTGGACAACATGGTGAAACCCCTTCTCTCCTAAAAATACAAAAATTGGCCAGGCGTGGTGGCATGCACCTGTAGTCTCAGTTACTTGGGAGGCTAAGGCAGAAGAATCACTTGGACCCAAGAGGTGGAGACTGCAGTGAGCCAAGATTGTACCACTGCACTCCAGCCTGGGTGACAGAGTGAGACTCTGTCTCAAAAAAAAAAAAAAAAAAAAAAAAAAAAAATTCATGGAATGATTGGTTGAAGGAATTCCAATTTTCATATAATTCATCTTAGGGAACTACCTAAGAAACATTCAACTATTTTCCTCAAGTATTTTCTTTTTTTTTTGTTAATCCTGTTATCAGATACCATTTGTAAATATTATGTCTTTTCTGGTTTCTGCTTGTTTATGATCCGGAGATCTTCCAGCTGGCTCTTACTAAATAAAGTTCTCACATACTAAACTTCAGTTATTCTGATAGGGAAAATGTGGGACTACGGTGGATTGGTCCTTTGCAACATTCACAGCAGGAGTATAATAAACTACAAAAGACGAAATCAGTCTAAATAAAGGCCAATGATCACGGCTTCCCTGAGGCCACTCTGGACAGACTGTCTAATGCCGGAACATCCTACTTCCCTACTTGATTCCTCACTAACCACCTTAACTTCACACCATTATACATCTCCATCTTCCAGCCCTGCTGAGTGTGAAGTCATTACTCTCCATATCACAGGAGGTGTAAATTGTTACAACCTTTTTGGAAAGCAAGGGCCCATAAAACCATAAAACTATTCACACCCAATGCACCCCAGAACCAGATCTCTATCCCAAAGAAAAAAAGTACAAATAAAGGAGAAATGCATAAAGAAAAAATAAAGAAAAGAAACACATACATGTTTGTGGCAAGGTTATTTATAATGGCATACAACCAAGGGAATGTTTTAGAATTAGGAGGGTGACTACTCAGCAGTGAGCTAGAGTTTCTACTATGACATAAGGTCAACTTTAAAAAACAAAAAAGAGAGAGGTAAAATTAGATCTATATTTTGATTTCAACTATGTGGAATTATTATGAAAAAATGAAAGCAAGTATGTATAAATGATCATAATGTATAAGACTGTCAGAATTAAGGGTGCATTTTTGTCTCTGCTTTCAAACTTTAATATCAATTATTTATATTTTTTAAAAATTCTCAAGTTTTCTTCTAGTCAGAATCTACACACCAAATTATGACAGTAAAGACCTTCCATAGGCATGCTGTTGGTGACAAACAAGTTAAATGACTGATCTAAAGGCATTTAATTAATGTATCCACGATTAGGATTCAGCATTACAAGAGCCCAGTCTTTTCAGAACTACTGGAAACAGATGTGATAATGGGCACTGGGGAATGGCACGTTATTATGAGTATCCTTGTAAATATCTGACCTACTTCTATCAAGTGATGTTTCAGCCATTCATCAGGAAAACAAAGATCATCCTTGTTGTAACAACAGATTTGCTAATGAATCTTTTCAGTTGTCCACAGATGAAATAGAGTTTTGTGCTACAACAGATAAATTGTATAACCTTTTTTTCATATAAACATATTATTATAAAATGATGCTGCTGAATTACAGTTCATAGTTGCTTCATATAATCTTCTTAGAAACATCTGGAAATATAATTAACATGAGGCTCAAACTACAGCATTGAACAACTCCTTCCTGTATGCTGGGAAGCATTTAGAAGCCCCTTTTCCCCACAACGACATGCAGTGGTAGCAGGCAGCTTCCTACATTTTAACAGAGGTTTTCAGAGAAGGTAAACCCCAGCAATACGGAACAAAACCACTATTTAGAGGACCTAAAAATGCTGCTATGCCATAGAAGAGATTTTTTATTTTAGAAACTCCCATTTGGTTAATTTGAGGACCAAAATAGACCAAACATTACAATAGTCTTCTACGGCCAAATTACATCTGCATCTGAACATCATTAGCGCTCTGACTTCTACTCCACACAGACCTCTCCCAGCTTTGTGCTAATTTGATTTGACAGGAAAAGTCCTCAGAGGCATTTGAGGTTATCACCCCATCCTCCTAACTCAGGTCAGAATACCACGCAATGTGGGTTCTTGGTGTACAACTTTCTTTTTTTTTTGAGATGGAGTCTCACTCTGTCACCCAGGCTGGAGTGCAGTAGCGTGATCTTGGCTCACTGCAACCTCTGCCTCCCAGGTTCAAGCAATTCTCCTGCCTCAGCCTCCCATGTAGCTGGGATTACAGGCGCACACCACCAAGCCTGGCTAATTTTTTGCATTTTTAGTAGAGATGGGGTTTTACCATATTGGTCAGGCTGGTCTCGAACTCCTGACCTCAGGTGATCTGCTTGCCTCGACCTCCCAAAGTGCTGGGATTACAGGCACGAGCCACTGCACCCGGCACAACTTTCTTTCATTCATGCGATGACATTAATATTCTACATGTTTTATATTCACAAATTGCCTTCACCCAACTCTCCTTCAGGGTAACAAAAAGAAGAAAGACCTTTAAACATGACCTTCCAGAACTATTTGATTCAGTCCTTTTTTTTTTTTAATTATTAAGGCTACTTTATATTTGTTTTAGTCAAACAAGTTCCAAATCCTCATTAATTCATTGCCTAATGTTATTTCTCTATCTCCTTCAACTTAACAAAGAAATCACCATCAACAAAACCAATCAACCAACAAAAACCTTGTTTTTTTTTGGTTGCTGCTGTTTTGTTTTGTTTTTTTTAAGCAGGCAAATTCATATACATCATATAGGTATCTTTCTCTGCCTTGGGAATCCAGAATTAGTGACCAAAATCACCAAGTCCTATTTCCAATCGTTTCTGTTGTCTTAATGAGATTAGATTTCTGAATTCAAGTATGTTTAAAACTTACCTACCCAGATATGCATACATCTTAACCTTTTCACTCTGTATGTTTTCAAGTCATGGGTAACTGTGATGTTTCCAAGTAAAGCCCAGAAGACTTTGGGGTGAGACAGCCTTGCAATTCCAATCCTCTAGGGCTATATCATTAACCAGCCCTGTGACCCTGGGCAAGTTACTGGCCCCTCCTAAGCCTCTTTACCCTCACCTATCAAACAGGTATTAGGCATAACTAAGTAACTGCCTCAGAGGACTGCTGGGGCGCTGAGAGCCAGATTGCAGCTAGTTCACACTTGTCAGGTGGGCACTCAAGCACTAGCTATTACCATTGTTACTAGTAGTGCTAATGTATATTAATAACATAATTATTAAGTTTTTAGTGAATAAAAGTCAAAGGGAAAAGGTCAAAGAATTCTGGGGAAACCCAAAAGACACCAATGCATATCTAGATTAAAGTGACAGTGAAGAAATGAAAGGACACAACTGTAATTCGACTAGATAAGGAAATGAAATTGAGGCTTAATTCAGAAGTGTCCTCAAAGGCAATGATAATCATTTCATAGAGTCAGGGTGCTATTGGAGGGGAAGCCTGCTAGGGTGAAAATGAGGCATTTGGTGTACACATACTTATTTGAAGTTCTGCAGAGGGCTGGTCTCAGGGCAGAAGTTGGACTTGCCAACAGAGATCTGAGTCCAGTGCGACCATGGAGTCAGACACCAGCACTGTAGCCTTAGACTACAGGCTAAGTTCAAATTCCAACTTGGTCATTTCTAACTGGCAATTATTGAGTCTCCCTAAGCTTCAGTTTCCTCACTTGTCAAATGAAGTTAATAATACTATATAGGTCTGTTGCAAGATTCAAGTCCATAAGGCATGGAAAGGGTCACGTGTATTTCATATTATTAATACATAGTAATATGAGCAGAGCACAACAGAAGATTGCTCCTGCTGCAGTCAACCGATATGACATTGTTGAAGCACATTCTACCTGGGAAGAAGGAAATCAAATGAACTTAGGAGACATCTAAGCTTTATGTGGAATAGATGAGTGTTCCAAGAAGAAAAGGAGAGGGAAAGAATGGAAAGAAAACCAGAGCCGAGGAAGAAAGAAAGAACAATATGTTGAACATGAAGAGAAGTACTCCAGGAGAGTCAGGCATGACTCCCAGGACTGGTCCAAGGAGAGGCAGTGGTAAGACGTGTGTGTCATGCAGGTCTAGAGGGCCTGGAAGTGGGGCAGAGGCACTAGACCTGGTGGCATGGGAGCTGATGACGGGAGCCATCAGAACTTTGGAGAGAAAAAGAAGTGTTAAAGGAATAGAAAATAAATTATTGGTGAAAGAAATGGCACTGGGACAGAATTTCCAGACAAGACATTCAGCAGAAGAGGTGCAAGAGAGGTGGCAGAAACAGTGCGAGGACTGGGAACAAAGAAATTCAATTCTGTACAGAAGCAAAGATACTCAACCTCCATTAATTAATTTAACTGAGATGGTAGACAGTGGAGGGCCATGTTAGTGTTCCTCTGTTTCTGGGGTCCAGCAATCCCTTCTGTTTTCTTTTGAAAGTTAACTGGCGCTTCTTTTCTGTTTGTAAAACAGCACTGGCCTCGGGGCCTGCACATCTGTCTCTGTGGTTTTGTACAGGGTGACCATATTCTCCCTGCTTTGCTTAGCTCAGGCCTGGTTTAGATTATCGTTCAGCCTAAGTAGTTATAGCACCCCATTTCACTCTCGGAAATACCCAGGTTTGGAACGTAAAGTAGAAGGTCGCTCCATTTAGTACCTTCTATTTTCGAGCCTTCTGACTTGCCACCAATTTCTGCTTTTCGAAAGGATACTGTGCTCACCTTCCCTCCCAAGAACATCTCTTCCTCTATCGTGCATATTTCTGCCCGTGACATAGCAAAGGAGAAACAGGATAAAGCACTTCCTCAGTGGCCATTGTGTTTGCTCACTTAATTGTAAATTCACAGAGAAAAGGAAATACTTTAGTGAAGAAACTTGCTGATACCCAGGAAACTACGGAACAAAACTCCAGCTTTGTGGAATTGTACAACGTGTCTAAAGGCAGGCTCCTAAACTCAGCACTGAAATGAACACTGCCTAGATCTAAGAAAAGCTTATCAGAATCATGAAGTTATCCATACACCATCCACAGACTGAAAATAGGAAATAAACCTTTCCTTACTCTTAGATGTCTGTTGTGTTTTTCAAATGCATGTATAGAAGAAAAAATAATCATAGATAAAACTTAGCGCAAAGTACTATTCTAAGAGCTTCCCATCAGTTAACTTCTTTTTGAATCCTTAAACTTATAGAATGCCAGTTTTTTGTTGTTTTTTGTTTGTTTTTGAGGTGGAGTCTCACTCTGTCACCCAGGCTGGAGTGCAGTGGTGCCATCTTAGCTCACTGCAACCTCTGTCCCCCAGGTTCAAGCAATTCTCATGCCTCAGCCTCCGGAGTAGGTGGGACTACAGGCGCACGCCACTATGCTCAGCTAATTTTTCTAGTTTTAGTAGAGGTGGGGTTTCACCGTGTTGCCCAGGCTGGTCTCAAACTCCTGACCTCAGGTAATCTGCCTGCCTCAGCCTCCCAAAGTGATGGGATTATAGGCGTGAGCCACCGTGCCTAGCCTAAGGTGCCAGTTTTATCCCTATGTTAAAGATGAAGGAACTGAGGCAGAGAAAACACAAAAAACTTGGCCAAGATAACTCAGCAGTCAGGCTCCAGAGTTTGACCCCTAACCACTAGTCTATACCACCTCTCCCATAAAACTCCTTATCTTAGAAGTAAGTAGCCACACATACATCATACAATAAAAAGCCTGTATCTTTTTATAGAAATATTTCTGTGCCTATCTAGCCCCAAATCTAGCAACTACTGAGGCCTGTGTGATTACTGTCTGATTACCTAATCAATGCATATTTTGTTCCTATATATCATACAGCAGAAAGAGATAGTTATATTGAAAACATAAATGGAATGATTCTGAAGGTTTGTTTCATGCCAGTATCAATTTACTCTTTCTTAGCTATTCAACAAATAGAGTGCATCCTCCAAGTACATGGCATTGAACTAGATACTGTGGGGTTCATACAAAGACGAGTATGCTACACCTTGACTTTCCTCTTTAAAGACTTTCAATAAAGACTCGTATCATGGCTTCCAGTGTCAGTTTTTATTGATGAGCTTCTCTTCCTTCACATTTCTTTATAGAGATACGTCAAAAAAGGAAAGCATCTTGTAATATCACTGTTATGTGTAGAAGAATTATGTTTTAAAGCATCTGAATTATCGATTTCCACCCTCATGGATCTGAAATGCGATATATTTGAGAAGACTGCAGGCTAAGTTCAAATTCCAGCTCTGTTATTTCTAACTGGCAATTATTGAGTCTCCCTAAGCTTCAGTTTCCTCACCTGTCAAGTGAAGTTAATAATACTATATGGGTCTGATGCAAGATTCAAGTCCATAAGGCAAGGAAAGGGTCAAGTATATTTCATACGACATAGTAATATGAGCAGAGCACAACAGAAGATTGCTCCTGCTGTTGTCATCAGTGTAACATTGTTGAAGCACATTCTACCTGGGAAGAAGGAAACAAGGAGCAGCTGTTGTCTTGCCACACTTTGAACAATGGTAGTAGCTGGCTTCCAAAGACAAGCCCCAATGAACCTTGTTCTGGCATCCACACCCTTGTTTAGTCCACCCAACAATGAATCTGGGCTGGTCCCATGGCTTGCTTTAACCATTAGAATAATGTGACTGTAATACTAAGCCAATGTTGTACCTAAGCCTTTAAAAGGCATGGAAGCATCTTATTTTGTGCTTTTAGGGGCCCTCAGCTCCCTGCTGGAGAGACCATAGGAAGAAACCCCATGGAAAAGCCCTGAGACAACATAAACAGGGAAAGGGGCCCAGCTTTCCTCGCACCTTAGGGAGCCTCCAGATGACTCCAATGCAATCCACCTGAAAATGCATGACAGACCCCAAGAGAGACCAGCAGAAGAACAATCTCACTGAGTCCAGTCAATCCCCAAGCCATAAGAGATAATACAGAGGTTGCTGTTTTTAAGCCATTATGTTTTAGGGGGTTTTGTAACACAGCAATAGATAACCCAAACAATAATGCTGTCCAAACAACCTGAGCTTTTAACACACGCAGTCATTTAGCCTAACCTGTGCACAACTATGAAAAACTGGAAAACAATCATGAATGATGGCAAATTCTTCAAACTCGGGGACCTTCCATCTTACGCATCCATAAGTACCCTACCTCCTCTCCTCTTTCAGATCTTAGTAAACAGAGAAGCTTAAAAATATATTAATATCTGGCTGGCTGTCTTACTGACTTTCAGTTCAACATGTACTTATCCGGTACCTATTCTGTGCCAGATGCTCTGCTCAACACTAGAAGACAAGAGGATATCAGCAGAGTCAATGCTATTAAGGATTTTATAGCCTGGACTTACACGCAGAGAGTGCTGGATAAAGTTCACTTTGAGAAGAAACAATTACATCTTTTATCCAGCCCTAGAAGGTAACAGATTTCCATAGTCTTTAGTCTGTACCTGTTAGAGATTTTTTAAAAACAAAACAGGACCATTAAGTCTGCTTTGCTTTCTAACCACTAGATGGTCCCTTTGTGGGTCATGATGAATACACAACTAAAAATATTCCCTGCTTACCTATGCTGGATCTTTTTTTTTTTTTTTTAAAGAAGAAATGAAATGCTCCAATCATTCACCCAAAGGGAATATGTGATCTGGCCAGATGCTGAAGGCTATTCAACTTGGTTTGATAGTTTCTTATTAAAATCAGATGCTAACTAGTGCTCTGATTATTTGCATGTTTGCTTTTCCTAGTCACGAGAATTGTCATTGCTGAAAAATGTGTGCAAATATATTTATTTGGCTTAACAGTCACTTTGCTGATGTTTCAATTTCCCTGAGAATGCCACAGCCATGTTAAGGCAAATTTTGCAGCTTGACACAATCTAACCAATCTTAAAAAACATCCCCCTCAAGCTCACATCCCCTTTTGTTGTTTGCTATATATTTCTCATTTTCCCTCTCAACCAAACATCTTAAAAGAAGATGACTACCTCCTCTCCTCTCATTTACTCCTCAACCACATGCTATCTAAATCCCAGCTACGTGGCTTCCCTAAAGTCATAATCCCAAAGGACACCAATGATGAGTTGTCTATGCCCACCGGACACCATCTTGTCAAGATCTGCCAGGGTGGACTCTTCTTTCTGAAACTCTCTCCTCTGGTTCACCGAGACCACCAGTCCCTCCTGGTTTTCCTCCAAACTCCAGTGGGCCATCTGTCTTCTCTGTAGGCTCTGCTGCCTCTGTTCAGAACTCACAGGCTGGTGGCCCTCAGGGTGTTACTGTACCCTCGACTTTGCTTCACACTTTACTTTCTCTCTTTGGAGTTTTCATCCCAGGGCTTCCATGATCATCCAGGTGCTGATGACTTCCAATCTGCATTTCTTAGACCTCTCCTGACCCCAGTTATCTATACCCAAGGAGCCCTCCATCTGAATGTCTCAGAAGCACATGAAAGCTGGCATGGCCCCAAATAAATTCATCTTTTCCCCTCACAAATCTGCTCCTCTTCAGTGTATCTGACTTAGTCAATGGTACAATGTGGAGGAAAAGTTAAATATTAAATTTGAACTCAATTGAACATGGACACAAACAATGGTCACCAAGTCCCGGAACAGATGAGTTGAGGCGTTCATCCAGCACTGTTTTGGAGAAATCTGTATTTCAATCTATTCCTATATATTAGTTATTGAAAAACAATAGACAATCACAAAAATCAAGTTGACTTTTTGCGTTCCTTGAGCCCAGTCGCAAAGGGCCTTTGTGACTGGGCCTCATGCCAAACAACTTGTTACAAAAAGACCTAGGGTCCCAGACCACGCTGAAGCTTCATGAGACGTCTCCTCATCTGTGCAGAGACAAGCGGCTGACTCTGGAGCCCAGGCTGTTGCTTCCCGGTCTGGTGGTGAATCCTCCATAGTCTGGCAAGTGTGGATAGATAGATATATAGATATATATATATATATATATATATATATATATATATATATATATATATATATATATATCTTTTCCCTTCTCCCCTTCCCGTTGCAATTTATTATATTAATTTGCTTATTATACCATTTGCTTATTATATCATTTGCTTATTATATCTGCATTGCCATTTACGTGGGATAAAGCTTGTTTACCCTTAAAGATATTGTGTGTGTGTCTTTTCTTCTCCCCTCGTGCATCTCCTGCACAGAACATACCTCCATCCATTTAATTGCTCAGTGAGAAATCCAAGAGTGGTTTTTTATTCTTCTCCCCACTTCCACATCCAATCTGTAATCAAGTCTTGCTCGTTCTGTCTCCTAAATATCTCTTGGATCTGTTCACAGTCTTCAGTTCCTAATGTCACTATTTTAGTCTAGGCTATCTCCCTCTCTCCCCAACATTATAATCAACCACCTGCTAACCAGTCTTCTTGTTACCAGAATCAATAAGGACACAATATTCCATTTGATGTGATAGGAATGAGGTATCATCTTAATTCTATCACAAGTAAATTTTCTCTCATTACCAACACAATATTTATAGAAGTTGTTATATTATAAACTTGTAAACACCACTTGGTGCCACTCCAAGCTTTTCCCATAATATAGAGAATAATCTTTCTAAAATGCAAGTCCTCTCATAATTTCCTATTGCATTAGGATAACACCCAGACTCCTTAACATACCTCATAAGACCCTTCATGAGCAGATTCTTGTCCATGTCTTCAGCCTCATCTCTCACTACTCTCTGTCCCTTCCCCCAACAATCCTTTTCAAGTCATAATTTTTTTTTTTTTTCAGACAGGGTCTCACTCCATTGCCCAGGCTGGAGTACAGTAGTGCAAACATGACTCACTGCAGCCTTGATCTCCTGGGCTCATGTGATCCTCCCACCTTAGCCTCCCCAGCAGCTGGGACTACAGGCATGCGCCATCACACTCAGCTAATTTTTAATTTTTTTTTTTTTGTGGTAATGGGCTCTTTCTGTGTTGCCAAGGCTGGTCTCAAACTCCTGGGCTCAAGTAATTCTCCCGCTTTGGCCTCCCAAAGTGCTGGGATTACAGGCATGAGTCACCGTGACTGGACATAATTTCTTTTTAAGCTGTAGACTGTTAACCTCTCCTCTCTTCCCTGGCTCTCCTACATTCTGTTCTGCCCACCAGGAGAGATTTCCTCACATGCATTGCTAACCCCTTGGTTAAACATCCCTTTCTCTAGCAAACCTTTCCCAGTAACTTGCCACTCAGTTGGGCTTGTCTCCTTCAAGCTCTCAAAGCCCCTGTGCATCTCTTATCACTTCACTTCTGCTTTATTGTAATTGCTGGCTTTATTGTCTGTTTTCCCTTTAAGACATAACCTTTGGGAGGTAGGGGCCATGTCCGTCCTCACTGTTGCAATGGTATGGACTTCTTATGAACAATGGCAGCATCTGGCACATAAATACATTCAATATGGTAAGCTGGTATCCTTTATGAATTTCCTATAGTTTATAGAAGTCCAACAGCCTAGATTCTGAACAAGTAGACTATATTACTCTGTTAGAATGAGAAATAGGAACACCAAGGGAGCACTTAAGTTAGAGTGCAAGGCCTGTAACCCTCCATCTTTCAAGCACGTAAGAGCCTACTCAAAATCATCCATTTTTTCAACCTATCAATTTTGTCTCTTTGCTTTAAGCTTCCAGCTCAAGAGCTATGCCAGTGATGGGCCATAGAGTCTTCATGGTGGACATAGCTAGTCTTATGCTGGATAAGAGGCCATGTTTCCCTTTACCAACAATAATTTTCCATCCCACACTACAAAGATGTCAAGACAAAATGTGATGTAACTAAGGGTTTATTTCTCTACTCCAAGAATTGCAAATGTACTCTGTCAATGACACGGCATGCTAGGGTTTCCTGATAGAGGAATGAGAAATCTGGGGCTAGCATGGAAGGCAACCATCTTGGACACCAGGGACAGACTCTTCCAGAACAGCCCAGAAGCCTATCACCATCAGGTCCAAAGGCAGAATCCAGTGTAGACTGCCTTGACTATCCAAGGAGTTTTATTTAAAGAAGAATAATTCTAGAAACATGGGCTTCCATGGAAGTGATTCCTGGGACATAGCGGTTGTTAAAGTCATAAGCAACTCTGGGTGAATTGATGGAAGACATAAAGGAAGCAGAATCTAGCCCTGTGGGAAAGGGGAAGCCGGGAAACTAGGCAAAGTGGTTGGCTAACAGCCCAGGGTTAAGGGCTGGTCCTTGTTTGATTGGGGGATTTCAGGATAAGTGGAACCTATAGCAGAATGACAATTAGGCAGAGGGGTCTTAGGGAGAGGACTGGAGATCTATGCTCACCTGAGTACCTGAGACTTTCCTGTGCATACATACTATTACATCAGTCTTCTGTTGCAAATAAAATACAGGGCAAAAGCAAGGAGACTGTTTCTGGATGCTGTCATGAGTATCAGGAGAGTTCCCAACATATTTCCGGCCCAGCCCTTCATCATTATCATCAATTACGTGAAGCTGACAGAAGCAGACTAAGGCTATGTTTCACAGGTTCCCAACTGCATGGAAGATGAACAAGCAATCAATTATTTGTATCTGAAGCTGCTGCCTGATTATCGTACTACTTTACCTATATTAGGTGGGTCTCCTAATAGCTGGAGCGAAACATTCAAAAGCAAATTTTGGTTTTGATTTTCTATGAATCAATTGAACTGCAGTACTTTATTGCTTAAAAATATGATGGGCCAAAACATCTCAATTTGGAAAAGGAAAAACAAAATTTTTCCCAGAAAATATCGGTTCAAAATTAGTTTAATGCAAAAACCAAAGAGGAAATTTCCTTTTTTTCCTCGATTGAAAATGGCAAATTAAGTCAGCACAAAACTCAGCAAATAAGATATATAGTTGTTAGTCTACTAGTAAGTAGGATCATTTACCGTGTTTTGAATAAGGCAATTTCCAGTTTCCTAACTTATTCCTCCACCTCAGCTGTCCACTCCCATGGTTTGAGTTTGTATCTTGTCTCCATAACTGTATCACCTTAAAAACCACTAATTCAAGAATGCAGCTGTTTACTCATAAGCTCATGATCTTCTGTATTGCTTCTGCAATTGTTCCCACTGACCAATTTAAACTTCTTTGACCTCTTTGGAACTTAATATTTATTGATTTTTCTAATTCCTCTGAACCCCCTGGACCTTTCCTTTCCTATCTAAAATTCAGTACTGCAGTGGGTCCCCTGCCAAACGGTGTGCCCTAAAAGATACATCCAAGTCCCAATCCTTGGTTCCCATGAATGTGATCTTATTTGGAAATAAGGTCTTTGCAGATACAACAAATTGAAGGATATCTGAAATAGATTATCCTGGATATATAGGTGGTCCCTAAATCAAATGTCTGGTACCCTTATAAGAGAAAAGGAGAAAGAGAGAGACTTGAGACACAGAGAGATGCCATGTGAAGGTGCTGGCAGAGATTCAAATTATACAGCTGCCAGCCAAGGAACACCAAGGATTGCCAGTGGCCACTGGCAGGGAGGAGAGAGGCATGAACAGATTCTCCCTCAGAGTCTCCAGAAGGAACCCACCCTGCCAACACCTTGACTTCAGATTTCTGGAACTGCAGGAGAAGCTCTGTTGTTTTAAGCCACCAAGTTTATAGTAATTTGTTATAGCAGCTTAGGAAACTAACCCAATCTCCCTTGTCCTCCTTTTCTTTCTACTCATCTGGCAAAACTCCAGTTCTGGATGGACCCAACTATGAGCTGTACCAGGACAGCCAAAAGCCAATGAAAAAAGTCACCAGTACCATGTAGAGTCATAATCATCAATCTGGAATGGACTTCACCCTGTACGTTCTTCTCCTCCTCTCCCTGTTAGGAGATAACCTCGCTTATTACCTAGACAAACTCAGTCACCATTGGAAGAGATCACCAAATGTATTATTCTGTCTACTGCTGCAGCTTCCCTCTGATTGCAGTAGAGTTCATTCCTTTTCTGATACTAGCCCTTCTTTCTGTGCCTTGTAACCCACCTACTCCTCACTTCTCAGCACCCTTCCCCTATCTCTTCTGTCTCATATTTTCTAACTCCTTCTACTGCCTCTTTCACATTTGCTTTTCCTATTGATCTCTCGTGCATCATAAAACAATGGTGACAAATCAGAAGACACACACACAACCCCCTATAGACACACATAGATTTCCTCCATCACCCATCTTGTCCTATCTCTTACCCACTTAGCTGCTAAACTTCTCAAAAATTTAACCCCATCTTACCCCAGCTCCTACCAACTTCTCACTCTACACTAATCTGACATCTGCCCCAAACAATCCATCCAGGCAGCTCTTGCTAAGTCACCAATGATCTCTAGTTGAGTGGAGCCACTAGTGTCAATGGACATTTTTCTGTACTTCTTCCACTTGACTTCATGGTATTAAACACGGTTAACTGTAGCCTCCTGGATGCCTTCTGTTCTTGGTGTCCACCACATCTTAGGCTTCTGGTTTTCCTCCTACCTCTCTGGCCACTGCCTCTCTATCTCCTTTACAGGCTCCTCCTCCTCTATCTAGTCTTAGGGACAATAATCTTCCCTCATCTAGAAGACTGTCCTTGGCCCTCTTCTTTCCATTTTGTTCTTGTTTCCTAGCCAATCTTACATCTAGTCATCACTCTAATTATTATATATATGCAAACGACCTGAAATTTACATAGCCAGCCCAGACCTCTCTTTTTCATTCCACATATTCAACTGCCAACTCTGGATATCACAAAGTTGACTCAAACACATATCTACACACCTAAAATTGGAATCATACCCCCAAACCTGTCACTCTTCCAAAGTACTCATCTCAGATAAAGCCACCACCATAAACCAACATTAGGGTGTCAAACTTTACACTTTAAAACCATTTTTTTATTTTAAAAATTGTCAACTTTATTGAGGTATAACTGTGTGCAAACTGCATATGTAAATATACAAGTAGATGAGTTTGGACCTATGCATACAACCATGATATCATCACCACAATCAAGGTAATAAACACATCCATCACCTTCAAAAGTTCCCTTGTGTTCCTCTGTGGGTTTTGTGTGTGTGTGTGTGTGTGTGTGTGTGTGTGTGTGATAAGAACATTTAACATAAAATCTACCATCTTAAATTTTTAAGTGCACAATACTGGATTGTTAATTAGAGGCACTGTATTATACAGTAGATCTCTAGAACTTATTCATCTTGCATAACTGAGCTTTTATGGCCATTAAGAAACAACTTCCCATTTCCCCCTCCCCTGGCAACCACCCTTCTACTTGACTTTTCAGATACCTCATGGAAGTGGGCTTATGCCACATTTGTCCATCTGTACCCGGTATGTTTCACTTGGCAGGGTGCCCTCCAGGTTCACCCATTTTGTCACAAATGGTAGGATTTCCTTCTTTTTTAAGACTAAATAATATTGCCCCCAAATGTCAAAATGGAACATTCCATGCCAAAGGCAACACTGCTTCTATCTCTCCTTCTCATGTTTGACCCATTACTAAGTCATTTGTTCCTTATAAAATCTCCCAAATCCATCCTTTTCTACCACCAGACATTAGTTCAGGCTACTATCATCTGCATAATGCCTCCCACTGGTCTGTCTGCAGCTACTCACACTCCTGAATTTGCTCTAAACGAGGCAGAATCAGTGGGGAGCTGGTCTTTGGTTACCTCTCCAGCCTCAACCCGCACGACACTCAGCTCTCCATTCTCCAGCCACTGGTCTTTCTCGCTCTCCTAGACGGCTCACCTCTCCTCTTCTACCACAGGGCCTTTGCACAAGCTCTTTCTGCTGCTCATTTTCTACATTTCTACACTTTCCTCAGACTCTAGCCCAAACCTCTCTTCCTTAGGAAAGTTTCCCTGACCTCTCAAGACTAAGTGAAGTCCCCCCTCTCCTTCTCCCAAGTACCTTTCCTTCATTGCCCTTATCACAGGTGAGACTTTACCTTTATTTTTATAATTTCAACATTGGACCAGCTGTTTCTCCATTATATCATGCATGCCAGGAGGTCACTGACTAGGTCTGGTTTGGCTCATGGCTATATACCCAGAGCCAGGTGACATTCCGGCATGTGGTGGACACTCAGTAAAAGTTTTTCATGTTTTTTTCTCCCCACCAACAACCAAGACCCTAGGTGTGCAGAAAATCTTAGAAGCACAAAGGGAATTCTGACACATTGTAGATTTCCACGGCCAACCCCTGCAGCTTATGATTTTCTGTCAAGAGGAAATAAAAGCATAACTCGGTGGTGTCTTCACAGTTTCTGCCTGCCAGTTCTACTTTTCTATAAATACAGTCCTCATTTTCAAGGAATTTGGATAAGATCGCTGCAGTTGACTATTTGGGGAGGCACTGCCTGTTCTATTTCAGAGGGGATGTTATCATCTGTCTTCATTCCTGGGGCAGGTGTGGAGATGCATTGTGGATCCCATTGCAGATTCACATAAGAAGCTGAATGTATCAGGCTCATAGGTTCACAAGCCCTGGGCAGGGCCTCGGAGGGCAGACTGAAAGGCATGTGAGGATCGTCTTCCCTGAGGACCCATTATTTTATGTTCCATCCATTCCTGTTTTCCTCCTGCCATCCTGTGATGCAGGACTTCTGCTGAGAGCTACTCCGTGTCTCAATAGTGCTTTCACCACCATCTGGAGCTCAGCCCCTGGGTCTTAATGCTCAGGGCCTTTTAAGGATGGCAGCCTTCAGCTTAGAACAGGAAGGATGTAAGAGTAGCATTCGAAGTGGAGGTCTACGTCCAAAACATCCATGTAATCGTTGATGTCAAAATTGAGGGAAACGTTGAAATCATAATTTTCCAATATAGTTTTCTTATTGCTATACAACTGGTAAATAAAATTTCTGAGTGTCCCCTTGTATAAGGTACACTATCTACTATCAAATATTGTAATTTATTCCTTGTATAAAGGTACACCCAGAAATTTAATTACAAAGAGACACATAAGCCCCTGTAACAAGTTACAGTTAAACCACAGTATACCTAATCATGGCAAATTATAAATGTAACCCAGTCTGTAAACAATAACAAGCAAAGTAAACATTGTATTGATGTCTTTTTGTGTGTTCAAAGAGGGATATAATTTTAAATACAAATAAATAATATGAATATATGGACTTATTCTTTCTTTTTAAAATGGTGGATAATATTGTACATATGAAAGGATATGATATAGACTGAGCAAGATTTTCTCATTAACCAAGCTCTACTCAGCCTCCCCTGAACCCCTTTTTCCTTTTTTTAAAAATTAATACACAATAGTTGTATATATTTTGGGGGTACATGTGATATTTTGATGCATGTATACAATGTGTAGTGATCAAATCAGGGTAATTGGGAATATCCATCATCTCAAACAGTTATCTTTTCTTTGTTGGAACATTCCAATTCTTCTTTTCTAGCTATTTGAAATGTATAAAAAATTCTTAACTATAGTCTACGCTATTATCAAATATTATACTTTATTCCTTCTATCTAACTGTAGTTTTGCACTCATTAACCAACTTCTCTTCGTTCTCCCTTCCCCCACACTGAACTCCTTTTCAACTGAGCCTGACTTTGGCCTTCCATGTTCTTCTTTCCATTGTCCAATTTTAGCAAGGATCCTGGTAAGTCAGTTTAACCAGAATCTCCCCATCCTCAATATCAGATAATTCTCATTATCTAATCATTAGGTTCCTCAGTCCCCACCATCTCTCAGGTGATATCTGATCACCCTGGCCTGTCTTCAGCAAGAATCCTATTAGATTGGCTTAGCCAGAATCTCCCTTACTCCTGATGTTTCCTTTTAGTAATTTTCCACCTAGGGACCCTCACTCTGCTCCTTGGTTGTAAATTCCCACTTGCCCATGCTGTATCAGAGTTAAGTACTGACCATTTCTCCCACTGCAAGACCCTATTGCAGTGGTCCCTATCCTTCTTTCAGTGGTGTTGAATAAAGACTGCCTTATCTTCAACAAGTGTCAATGAATAACTTTTCCTTTAACAACACATACATACAAGACAAAGATAGGTATACTAGCTAAAATTGGCTAACCAATGAACATTCCCTCAATCAACCAATTCTCATGTATATTTACTTAGATATGACTCTTATACACACATGGAAAAGTTTGCTTTGCATATGTGTGAGATTGGGTCTCAGCTGGTCACCCAAGCTGGAGTACAGTGGCACGATCACAGCTCACTGAAGTCTTAAACTCCTGGGTTCAAGCAATCCTCTCACCTCAGCTTCCTGAGTACCTGGGACTACAGACATGTGTCCCCATGTTAATTTTATGTTTTGTAGAGATGAGGTCTCACTATGTTGCCCAGGCTGGTTTTTAACTCCTGGGCTCAAGGGATCCTCTTACCTGGGCTGCCCAAAATGTTGCGATTGCAAGAGTGAGCTACTGTGCCTGGCCAACTTTTTTAAAACTAGCATACCTTTAGTTACATCATGCACCCATCCATCTATCATGATATAAAGATATACTGTAGTGTATTCTCTACTTTCTCTAATTCAGGAGTGGAATGTCTCTAAGAAAACAAAACAAAACTGCATACAAATATCACATTCAGCTGCCACGTTAATCAATCTGGCCACAGAGGTCACAAGAACTTGCTATGATCATTAATGACAAGAATGATTTAAGGTTAGCAACTCTGCTTGTCACATGTTTCCATTCTTTCTCCCATATGAGCTTAAAACAAAATTTTTGAAGACGTTTAATAATTCATGAGTAATCTGATGCCATTGCATCTGCACCTATCAGGTGATATGTTTTCCAATGTCTTGAAGACGTTGGCATAATCGGTCATGTGAGAAGCCTCAGGGCTTTGCCTTGTGGCCTTGTCAAATGAACTAAACAAAGCCCTTGACTTGCCAGGAGGAAATGCATCCATCACTCCATCATTCAGAGATTCATGGTGACAAATGACAATTACCGAAATGTGTGTACAAACTATTTTGCTTAGCAAAGTCAGGAAGAGACCTCATGGCATCTTTGTTTTATATATATATATTTTTTTCAATGCTTACAAAACACTCCCATTTTCTTTCTTGTTTCAGTGTCTTACATCTTACTTTGCTTAAAGAATATATTTCACTTAGATTTCTTCTCTCTGAGACAATGACCTAAGTACCCTTTTCTGTCTCAGTGGAGGATACACATTTGGAGTTTTGCTCACTTGTAAATCACTCAGTTGTTTTTAAGGATGCACAAATGACCTACAGGTTTTGCGACACCTTAAGGAACCAGCACGATGACTGAGAGAGTGGAGAATGCAGAGTCAGAGTGGTGGGACTTATATGGGTAATGATTTAGAAATTTATGAAATTCAGAGATTCATTCTTATCTCAGGAATTAACAAATATAACATCAGGATGGTGGGGCTTCCATCTAAGAAACAGAGTCAGAAAACATGGCTATCATGAGAATTAAGATTTCAAGACTCTGCAGATTTTCTATGTTATTCTCTTTCTTTCCCAAAAGTGATTAGCATTAAGATTCTCAGATCTGTGGACTGATATTCAGGTACAAGAAGCACATCTCCTATTTCAAGGTTAGTTTAGGGGTGAGGCAAAGAGGCAGGAAACCCAAGAAATGGAAGAGGTGATGATTCTGAGCAGGCGAGAAGGCAGGTTGAGTTTTTGAGGATGTAGAGGGAAGAAGGAAATGAAAACCTTGGGGTAGCCCTGGCAATGACTGGACACGTGATTAGAAAAATCAAAACAAAGTGCCATGGACTTAGTTGTGTCCCTCCCAAATTCATATGTTGCAACCCTCACTCCCCATGTGCTGGTATTTGGAGAAAGGGGACTTTGGGAGGTGATTAGGATTAGATGAGGTCATGCAGGTAGGGCACTCATGATGGAATTAGTGTCTTTATAAGGAGAGACTCTCAACAGTCTGCTCACACTCGCTTACGTACATGCTCTCTCTGTGCACACAAAAATGAAGAGGTGATGTGAGTGTACAGCAAGATGGCTGCCGCCTACAAGCCAAGAGAAGAGGCCTCAGAAGAAAACCTATCTTGTCAGCAACTTGATCTAGGACTTCCAGCCTCCAGAACTGTGAGAAACACATTTCTGTTGTTTAAGCCACCCAGTCTACAGTATTTTGTTATGGCAGCCCAAACAGACCAAAACCAAAGGGAATCTGTATAGCTCTTCCACTGTCTGATCACAGACCCAATGGGGTGAAGTCAAAACTCTGTGTCTTTCCCTGTAGCACATTTCCCTCTGCACACCCTTACTTATTTAAAAAATATCCACCTAAGATGCCATACAAACTCTCCACAAATATTAACTCATGTAAGGTATTATTCTTACTTCTATTTTACAGACGAGGAAGCTGAGGCACAGCATTAATAAACTGAGCAAGATCATATAACCAGCAAGTATCAGATTTGGGATTCAAATCCAGGAAGTGTGGCTCCAGGATCTGTGCTCTTAACCCCTCAGCTGTGCTGATTTCCCCCACATTTCTTTGCTGTCCATTGAGCCACAAACCGTACAGTTATCTTTGCCACTACAATGATTCATTTGTATTCTTTGTTTTCCTGCTATGTCCAAGAATCACTTATTCAAGGTTTTTCCTCCATGAAATAACCTATTCTTATCTGCCAGTAACCATATAACTTGTTTTCTGCTATGTGTTCACTTTTACTGGAATAGTGAAAATAACAATGAATATAATAAACGCATCATCAACGCCAGAATGAAAGCATTCAATTATAGAAAAGGCAGAGGTCTAAATTCAGATTATTCGTAGATCAAATTAAAAGGGTGGTTCTTTAGTTTAAAAACAAACAAAAAATCATGAGATAGGAGAAAACACATAGGATATAAAAGTCATTCTTGATCATACTGAAAAAATTTTAAAGACAAGAGCCATTCCAAGGCTTGATATTTTTTCTCCTTTGGTTCAAACAGCCTATTGCAATTAAATTCTGTTAAGATAATAGAGTTGAAGGCAACAAACACCAAATGGGAAATGAAAGAACAAATCATCTTACCTGCTGACGTGTGTTTGAACTTTTCGCTTTTCTTCTTCCTCCATTTCCAAGGCTTGAAAATCCTTCCCAGGTTGGCAAACTTACTTCTCCTGCGGATGGGTGGGGTGTGGGTGCCTGGGACGAGGGAGTCAGAACGCATCGCCGCCAGCCTCTCCACTTCCTCAGCTTGTTATTTCCAAGAAAGAGATGAAAACAAAGAGAGAAAAAAAGTGTTAAAATGGGAGCCTCACAGATGGCCAACGTTTTCCATGGTTACAGATAACAGAAACCACGTGACTAGAGTTTCTCTTTGCCTTTTGGAATGGAAGTCACACCAGTGTGTTCTGAAGGCTGAGGACAGTTGGCCAACCCCTAGAGATTCAAAACATCCCAACCAAATTTGCTCAACTTCTATTTAGGCTGGAGGAGGAAGAGAAAGAGGAGGAGAGCTCTCTGGACAAGTCAGGGACTACCGCCCAAAACAGGGAGAGGCCACCAGAAGATTCAAATGAGAGTCAGTGTAACTACTGGTCCGGCAATTTCTCAAATAAGACTTGGCAGACGCAATCACTACAGCACTGTCTACTGAGAAAAAAGAAGGGAGAAAACATTTATCAACTGTCTATTCCAAAGCCAACGTCTCCAATACCCACTGCTGTCTACTTCCTACTACCTGGCTTTACCTAGACCTTCAGCAGCACTGAAATCTGTTAAGCAAGTGACTGTACTTTAGGATTACTGATCGATTTTGGAGTCACTCACACTTCCATTAGAATTTACAATTGTCTTAATTCCACTAGTTTTTCTTTTCCTGGAGTCTTGCTTAAAAAAAAAATTCTTAGAAATTGAGAGCTGGGGGTATCTTTAGGGAAAATCTATGCTAATCCCAATAATAGAACACTTGAGCATATTCAACTTTCAATCTCATAATGCCTAGTGGACCCTTCCTTAAAGGCCACAATCATCCCAACCTCTTTTTACCACATGAAATAAAACAAACTCTTTTCCATATTTACAGATTCCAATACCCCAACTTGAATTTTTAAGAAAGGAATAATCAGAGAAACTAAGCTCTTTGGCAAAATTGAGAGCATGGAAGGAATTCAACTTCCCAGAAAGCAAAATGATATCTGAAGCCATGGCAAATCCCAAACCACTTTGTTCCCTCAAAAAATTCATCCAGACTTCTGCAACCTATGCATTCCTTGCAAGTTCAACCTGCCAATGACCATATAAAAATGATAGTCAGCTTGTTGTGGTCTGAACATAGTTTTAACTCAGGAGATCCATTCATTAAATACATATGGAATTCTGAGTGTGTGCTGTGGCAGTTGTATTGGTGACAGATGTGATAAGCTAGTAAGAGCTCCCCACAGCAGGACTGAAAGAAAGTAGATGGAATTGAGAGACACGTCAGAAGTAAAGTCAAAAGAACTTAGTGACTGATTGAGTGACCAGAAGGACTGGAGGCAGATCATTGGCAATTCCAAGATTCAGGTCAGCAGAGTGGTACCCTTCATTCATAGAGATAAGGAAGACAGGCGAGGACACAGGTTTAGGGGTGAGGGCAGTGATGATTTGGACATGCTGCAATGAACAGGGCACTTAAACCTTTACTACCTGGTTCAGTGCACTGGGAGCTCCTCTTTTCAATCATTTGATTAAGTGGCCACTTAAATCTCTGCCAGATACTATGATCATTTCTGGGGAAGACACACAGGAAAACTGGCCTTGAGCACAGAGTCCCAAGGAGGAGACAGAGAGATCAGTGTGTAAGAACATACCACAACAGAGCTACAATATAAAACTCAATGTAAGTGAAGAGGAGAGAGCAACTAATTCTGCTTCACAGCATTGGAGAAGACCTCGAGGGAGGTCACTTTGGGCTTAAGTTTTGAAAGAGAAGGGGCTGTTCTCCTGGCAAGGGGAAGAGGGAGAAGCGGATCCCTGGGAGGAGAAACAGACCCAACAGGAATAGAGAGGGCTGAAGGCATGGAACATCTAGGGACTTCAAGGAACTCAGTCAACTGTGAGCCTCAGTGACGTTAGGTGAGATGAAGCACTAGTGGAGAGAGACAGGGGTTGGAGGGTCTGGAACCAGATCATGTAAGCTCTTGAAATGAATTGGCATTTGGGGTTCATCCTCTGAGCAGAGGGACAAGGAAAATTTGAAAATGGGAAACTGGTATTATCACATTCAACCAAAATGTATTGTATGCCCACTCTGTACCAGATGCTTAGGCTATGACGGTAAACAAAACAAATAAAAATACCAACTCATAGAGCTCACATGCAGAGGTAGGGTGAAGGGCAGACAGCAAACACTGAAACCAAATAAATTATAGAGTATGCCAGAAGATACTTGCTTTGGGGAAAAAAATAATGAGTGGAACCTGGTAAAATAGATCAAGAGTACTTTGGGTAGAATGGGGGGGTCGGCCTGATCGAGAAGGTACGTGATCAGGATGCAATTAGATTTGTTTCTTAGGAATATCTTTGCAGCAGCAAAGGTAACCTGACTCGGAATATGGGGAAATCCTTGACAGCGAGAACAATCAGGAGGACACTGCAATCACAGTAACTAGGATTCAAGCAGGGGCATGACAGAAGGATAGGAAGAAAAGATGGGATTCAGCCAGGTGGGAGAATCAGCAGATTTGGTAACTCTCTGGATAAACATGAGAAAGTACCAGGAAGCAAGAATGGCTAACATTTTTAGTTTTCATGACTAGGTCAATGTGATGATTTTACATGTTTTAAAGAATTTGATGATAAAGGAAGAAGCAGAATAGGATGGCAGCTCAATGGGGACAAGAACTTTGCAGCCAGATAATTCAGTATTTTTGCAAAGGCTTTTTAGGGGTTAGAACTTTATTTCCTGAGGTAATGAAGAACTATTGAGAGGAAATTTGCCAAGGTAGGAAGGAGAGACTTGATTTGGGGGTCAGTAGGCTGAGCTGCCAGAGCCAGGGGAAAGTGAGAGATCGAAGATGTAGAAAAAATGCTGAGAAATGTATGAAACATGGTTCTTAGGAAGGCGAAGAAGTGGGATCAAAAATGCACAAAAGTATTACTGATCAGGAGATTTTATGCTGAGTGATTGAAAGTTTGAACTGAGGTCTCTGATCACAAATGGCATAGATCAGATGTGGGCCTCAGGGAGATTAATTTCGCAGCAGTGGTAAAATAACAGATTACTGGAGGCTAAAGGAGGAAGATAAAAGATTCAGAAGGTTTTAAGTACGGGTTGTGGAATGGCTGAAGAGAGTGGTAACAATAACAACAACACAGCTACGACAAGGAATAAAAAAAGAAATCAAATCAGGCAAGTAAATAGCCTCAGAAGTAACACTGAATTTGAGCATTCTGCTTTTTAAAAGGCATCAGCTGCTTGAATTGGTGCTTCTTCAACAATGTCAGCAGAGCCACACAAGTAGTAATAATTGTGGGAAACCACAGCAAAGAGGTGCTGAGTCCAGGAGAGAAGCAAAGTCACCATAGTCCAGAGGTCTGATTCTCACAGGTCACTTCCTCTTTCATACTCATCACTTTCCCCTCATTCCTTACCTTGGTGTATAGTCTTGTTGCTTTTGTCCACATTTTACAAGTCTCCAAACCTATATTCCCAGACTTACTCTCCTGCCTTCAAACCTGTATTGGATACTTTTACTAGAAGCCTGTTCCTTGTAGGAACTGCAGGTGGCTCCCCACAGCATACAGTAGGAAGTTCTAATTTCCTGTACTGGCCTTCAGACAAGGCCAAGAATCACTTATTCAAGTTTTTTCCTCCATGAAATAACCTATTTTTTATATTAAAACAACCTGACTTATTACTCTCAACCTGAGTAAGCTGCTCAGAATGATCTTCTAGTACTTCTCTAAACACGTGTTATAGCCAAAATGAAATACTCCTGGTAGAAGCACTCATCCCGGGATCTCTGGATCCTAGTGGGCTTCAAGGGGATGGGTATCTGCATTTGGTTGGAAGATTTCCTATCATTCTTTGATTCTCAAAACAGCCTAAGACACAAAAGTGAAGTTTTTAAAATATTCAGTTTGAGAATTCTCTGAGTTCAGCCAACATCAAACATCTGCTACAGGTTAAAGAGAAATTATATACAGAATCCTTTAAAAAATCAAGATAGTAATTATTCAGGGTTGATACTGAGTTTGCTTCTCATAGTTGGCACTCAATAATGACTTACTGAGTAGATAACTGGGTAACTGCATTTGATTCAGTTCATTTGCTCACATCTTCAGAGGTATGAAAATATGTATCGTTACTTGTCTTAAAAAAAAAAGTGCCATGAGAACCGAAACGCTTTTCCATAATCACATCTTTAAGAAATGGATACAAATTATTCTGAAATTGCCCCATTAAAATAATGATATGAAATTAGAAGTGCCTTTGAAAAACCAAGAGTGGCAAGGAACACAGGGTATTATAAAGGTATAATTATAACTCAATAGTTAAATGAATCCTTAATAAGTATTATTATGAAATTCATGATGTTTAGCTCTTAAATTCAGTAGATTATTGAGCAGACTGGATCACATTAGGTTTAGCTGATTTATATTTTAATCACCCCATTACATTTTTCTCCAATTAATTTGATGATGGGGCTAGCTTTGCCATCAGATAATGATATTGGAAGGCTTAAGTGTGAGGATGGCTCAAGAGTGAGCCAACTTATGAACACAGTTTGAAAAGGAAGGGAAGGCTTGGTGCGGTGGCTCACGCCTATAATCCCAGCACTTTGGGAGGCCAAGGCAGGTGGATCACCTGAGGTCAGGAGTTCAAGACCAGCCTGGCCAACATGGTGAAACCCTGTCTCTACTAAAAACAGAAAAATAAGCTGGGTGTGGTGGCATGTGCCTGTAATCCCAGCTACTGAGGCTGAGGCAGGAGAACTGCTTGAACCCAGGAGGCAGAGGTTGCGGTGAGCTAAGATTGCACCATTACACTCCAGCATAGGTGACAAAAGTGAAACTCCATCACACACACACACACACACACACACACACACAAAGAAATGGAAACCAAAAAACAGGTCTCAGGATAAAGTGGTCTCCCATTGCAGGAACCAGAGAAAGAAAGGGATGAAGGCAAGTGGGAGAGCAGGGCGTGGCCTGCCATGTTTTGGAATCACAAACAGCCTTTTTTGGAAATGGAGCATGTAAAGACAGCTTCACTTTGGCCTGCTCAAAGGTGGCTACCTCATGCTGTCTGGAGAAAATGCTGAGCCACACATGAATCAGCTTGAATGTCAACTGCCAGGACTGAGCATGTTGAATCAAAACGTTGGAAGCTGGGCAGCTGAGCTCCTTCAGAAGGCTGAAGTGAGGAGAGAGCCATGGGCAAGCAAACTCCTGGGGTCTTTCCTGCTCTACCATCCAAGAGAACACTCTTTGAAGGACCACACAGTTTGGGCTCCCACTTATGACAAAACTGGGTTTTGTTTTACCCATAGGGTGGAAATGATTGGGAGATGATTTTTCTTTCTCCTTAGACAGGCCAGAAAGAAAATATTTGATGTATGCATGATTTTAATGACAAGAACCAAAGTACCTAGGCCAGATGGTGTTCTGAACCCCAGCCCTGGTGGCAACCTGGGATTACTCTTGGTGGGCTCCTAGGGCATGCAGCGGGAGGAGCTGGGCCGGGGCTCGGGGCGCTCCTCAGGTACACCATATTTCTCATGGTGGTTTGGCTTTCAAAAGGCTTGTGCAAAGATGGCATCACCTTGGCTTTCTGCTGGCCTAGAAAGTGCTCGTCATACAGTATCCCAGGGAGCAGCCTGGAATGAAGGAAGCATGGTGTCTGTGCCATCTGATGTCTAGTCAGAGTCAGCACCAGAGGCAGGAGGGCAGCCCATTTGGGACCCCAGTGGAGATCTCCCCATGTGCTAAATGCTCCTAGGGTTTTTGGAGGACCTAAGATTCTCATAAATTGGATTCTTGTTTCTTAACCCTAAGTGAACTCAATAACAGAACGTTTATGTTGCAGGATCTGATAACCTTCGCTTTTGCTTGTAATTAGAAGGGGTTATATACCTCCCTTATTTCACCACCCTAGGAATGGGAACCAAAGATCAGAGTGGAGGTAAGGTAGGCTGTCAGCTCACTACGCTGAAGCAGCAGCACTGCCTTTTTTTTTTTTTTTTTTTTTTTTTGAGACAGGGTTTTGCTCTGTCACCCAGGCTGGAGTGCAGTGACATGATCTCAGTTCACTGCAACCTCCACCTCCCAGGTTCAAGCCATTCTCATGCCTCAGCCTCCTGAGTAGCTGGGACAACAGGCGTGCACTACCACACTCGGCTAATTTTTGTATTTTTAGCAGAGACAAGGTTTCACCATGTTGTCCAGGCTGGTCTTGAACTCCTGGCCTCATGTGATCCGCCCACCTTGGCCTCCCAAAGTGCTGGGACTACAGGTGTGAGCCTCCACGGCCAGCCTGCGCTGCCTTTTCCTGCCCTGCAAAATGACGCCACACAGGTGCCCAGCCATTCAGAAAGGTCCCTTTTATAAATGTACTGTCACTTTCAGAGCTACCTTATCATAAATAAATGAAGGGTTGATATGAATTATCAGGCATATGAGGACACTATTTTTCCTTTTTCATTCTAGAATAAGTCATGCCATACACTTATAGAGGCTGGATCTCTTGGAAGAGTTTCTGACAACCTAGAATTGATTAACTAGAAGATTTTTTGTTGTTGTTTTTTGATTTTTTTTTTTTTTAAAGAGTAAAACATGTTTATTCTAAAAATCCAGAGTGCCTACCTGGTTTCATTAGGAATGGGATGGGGACGTAAAGTGGGGAGTGGATGGGACAAAGATTGGGCATTAAAGAGGGAAAATGATGGGGACAACAGAGACTCTTTTAGCACAGAGAGGTTGCCTGGTTAAAGGAAAAATATACACCATGAAGGAGCTGGGAGATAAATCAACAAGGCCATGTTGTCCAAGAGCTATTAAACACAGACACGATGCCTGAGAGAGTACTCATGTTAACATCGGTGAGTACGAGGATCACTGACCTTCACTGCCCTCACTTCCTTCTTTCAGGCTCTTCTGCGCCTCTGTGCACCACCCTCCTCCACCCCATCCCTTAGCATCCAGTCAAAGAGGGATCCAATTTATGTATTAGCACCAAGCTGTGGACACTGATACTGGCTGAGCATATGGTAATGAGACAGCAACATTTAACTAAGGCTTTATCTGTCTGAATCCAAAAACTGGATGACTTGAGTAATGCAAGTCCCGGTGGGGATGGGTAGGAGGAGGGAGCTCTGGTGCTCCTCAGCTGCTTGGACACACAGGTGGCTATCTTTCTACCTAGGAACCATCAGAGGAAACGCCACTTACATTCCACACAAAACAACACCCACACCCCAGATGCAACCATTACGCCACATCATGACATCTGGCAGTCTTCCCCACTACATCTCTGGAGGGAGAGGTCAATGTTTACATTGAGAGAGTTGCTTATCAATCTTATTGCTTGCAAGAATGGTAGTCCTCATGGGGGAAGAATCAATAGTGTGTGCATGCCTATATGACAGAGTCCTGTGGTCTGGGAGTGGTGGAGAAAGGAGGGAGGCTCCATATACCTGGACCCAAACTTCTCAGCAGATTTGCTCAGGCTCTTGGCCAACTTCCTCCTTTGTCTCTGGCTTCTACAGAGTTCTGCCTGGTAAAGGCAGCTCTCCCCACTGCCGGAGGCAAGTTCCTAGGGATGCTTTCATCATAGGTGTACTGCTGCCTCCTGCACTGTGGACAGGCAGAGCTGCCCTTTAGTGGCCCCCTGGGAAAACACTGTGCTGACATACAATGCGGGGAGATGGGAAGGAAGGAAAACTCAGGGATCCATAGGTCCAAAGATGGCCCATGTTTCTGTTAATTTGCTCCTGAAGCATGAATTGACAGCCAAGAATACAAGAACATCCATAAATCCTGGTGCCCTAAGATGTACTAATTTTAAAGAAAGCAAGAGGGTGGCTCTACTGGTTTTGGAATCGTAGGCCACTGTATCAGAAAGAGGCCACATGACTAATGCGGTTTATGGGACTCTGCGTTTCCTCCTAAAAGGAGGGGGGATTGTAAACGGTACAGTGTTTCCTTAGGTATCGGTGCTGATGACTATTATGACGGTAAAGATGATCATTGATGATGACGATGATGATGACAGCATCCATAACAGCTAACATTTTTCAGTCACTAAGTCTATTCCAGACACTGATCTAAGCACTTAAAATGTGTTACCTTATATAATCCTCAAATTAAACTTGTGAGCGAGGGCTATATATTATCCCCATTTTAGAGCTGGAGAAATTGAGAAGGGACTAATGAATAGGAAAAAGTGATTCTCGAAAGAAGAGAAACACATGCTTTTAATTAAGACATGCCTATTTGCAAGAATGTCTCCTCAATGTGTGAGAGTCTGGCTTTTTGAATCTTTGTATTACTCACTAAAGTCATAGGAGGGCTTCAGGGATGAGGGAGGAAATGAGCTGCTTTTTTGAAAAGGCTGCAAAACAGATGCCAATTATAAATTGATCCTACTGTAGCAAGGGAAAAGAGGAGCTGTCTTACCATAAAATGTCATATAATATAGATGTACACCTGTCTGTAGGTGCCCTGGCGAATACCCGCCCTAGATCACTAGGACAAGAAGAACCGGTAGGACATTATCTGCTAAGGACCTGTGCTCAAGCTACAATTACGAACTCAGCGGGTGTCAGTCAGGCCTGGAATAGGCTCAGATATGCTTCACTTAGAAAATGCTAACCATCGTGTATAGGGGAAAAATATTACGAAACTAGGAGGATGTGGGTCCAGATCCGGAATCTACCACCTAATAGCTGCTGGTGGAGGTGAGTTCTTTCTGGCCCCCACCAGGTGGCAAGGGCTTCCTCATTCTCCTCTGGAGAGTCACTCCTCCTCTCCTCGCACTCTGGGTGGTTCAGGAAGTTCATCTCCGTCCTGACGCCAGAGGTGGGCATGTGACCCAGTGCTGGCCAATCAGAGCATTGCATCTCCACCCTCCACCCACAGTAATTAATTCAGGGATGAGTCATTGAGCTTGGCCAGGCAATGAGACTCAATGCTGGAATTTGTTGGAACTACTGATAAACATGCTCTTTCAACTGGGATTGCAGATTACATAGGCTCTAAGCCTAATCAAAGTAGGGGTCACAAACTAAAACATCTTCATTTAGCCTTGGTTAATATTAAAAGAATTTCCAGGTCACAATGATGATTCATAAGCGTTGAGAAGAAACGATCCTATTATGTCAAATACTTCATATTTCCTAAGAACTGTGTTAGAAGGATGAAGATACTTCTATTCCATGAACACAGGGCAATGAAGAGAGCACATTGTGAACAGACCAGACAGGTAGGGAGGAAAGTTCCTATTTAAATTTAAAATTATAAAATTTTAAATATTTAAATTTAAAATTATACAGGTTCTATATTGTTAGACTTATTGAGCTAATAGATGTTATTATCAAAATTCTTCCTTAGATATTCAGTACAAAATTCTTGTTTTATCTCCCAGGAATGTATCCTTCAACCACTAACACATATAATGACTACAAAAACTTATAAAACATTCTGTTGTTCATTTAATCTATAGAATACATTTGTGTTGGCAACAGAACTTATTTAAATTGTAAATAAACTCCCAAGTCTTGTGTTAATCCAAAGCAACAATCTTTAAATAACGTAGACCCTTTTTTCATCTTAAATCTTTAGACCCTAGGGTCTGATATTCTTCTTGCAGTTAAATAAATAGTGCCTTTTACAGACTCAAATCCCACCTCAACAAAGCCTGGTTTCCCCTGCAGGGGTAAGCAAACTCTTTCTGTTAAGCCAAATAGTAAGTACTTTAGGCTTTATGGACCATATAGAGTCTGTTGAAGTACTCTACTCTGCTGATGCACTGTAAAAGCAGCAGTAGACTAATATGCCCAAATGGGCATGTCTGTATTCCAATAAAACTTTATTTATAAAAACAAGCATCTGGCCTGCATGGCCATAGCTTGTTAACCCTTGTCCTATAGAGCTGTGGATAATCTTTCAGCCTCCCCAGCGCCACCCCCCACCCGCCTTTTTTTTTTGAGATGTAATCTCACTTTGTCACCCAGGCTGGAGTTCAGTGGCTCTATCTCCGTTCACTGCAACCTCCACCTCCCAGGTTCAAGCGGTTCTTGTGCCTCCACCTCCCAAGTAGCTGGGATTACAGGTGCACACCACCACGCCCAGCTAATTTCTGTATTTTTAGTAGAGACAGGGTTTTGCCATGTTGGCCAGGCTGGTCTCGCACCCCTGACCTCAAGTGATCCACCCACCTCGGCCTCTCAAAGTGCTGGGATTACAGGCGTGAGCCACCATGCCCAGCCCTTTCAGCCACTTTAATGGCAGAGGCTGCCTGAGAATTGAGCCACAACAGAGACAAAGAGAACAGAGATGACTCAATGAAACTGAAACCTCATTACATCACTTGGTCTTCTGGATCCAGCCCTGCCTGAAACCACTATAACCCTGAATATTTTCCTTACACGAAGTAATAAATTCTCTTTTTTACTTACACTAGGTTGAGTGGGGTTCTCTTTTACTTGCAACTAAAAGGGTTCTAACAAATTCACTGTGTGACCTTAGGAAAGTCCCATCGGCTTCCTCTCTGTAAAATGGGGATAATACAGACTTATAAAGATAAATAGGCATATACTAAAAGCATTCTTTTGGGGCACAGAACATGGGCTCAGCTAAAGTTATCTAAAAGTGAAAAGTCTCCTCTGGTATCAGCTTATTACCACCTGGCTAATAAGCGTTCCACTAGGGGTGAAATTCGTTACCATGTCACCACTAGAATATCCCTTAAGGACTTACATGAATTTAAACAGTTTTGGAGGCTCTCAACTGTGCTGTCTCTTCAGACTAGTGGATCTCAAAATTTAGTGCATATAAGAATCAACTGAAGTACCTGTTAAGAATTTTAATCCATCTCAGACCTACTGAACCAGGAATATGAATGCATAAATAAGCAGCCCAGGTAACTTTGACGGCAGTGTTCTGAGAATCACTCTTTTGAGGCCTGCAGTATTCCTAATGAACCCTAGGATCCTACTCCCTTCTTCCCAACTATATCCATTGCCTTCAGGTGGCTGGCTAAGAAGAAAGATCCTTAGTGTAGAAAATTCCATCATACTTCAGTGCTGCCTGCCAGTCCCTAAAACGTGAAATCACTGGGAATAATTTTAAAATGCCTAATGTTCATGTAGTGCTTTATTCTAAGTGCTTTTAGATCTATTATCTCATTAGATCTTCACAACACCCCCATTATGTAGGTGGGGTATAACATTTCATTTGTTTCTCTATATATGACTATGGTACTATTTTCTCAAAGAATCGAATTACAATTTAGCCTTTTAATGGCTCTGAGAAGGTCTACAATAAACCTTTTAAACTCTGTTGAACCCTTTATTTTCCAAACTTAATTTAATCACAAATATGGTTGGATAGTGTTTTTTTGTGGGACACCATTAAGGTCTTATAGACTTGTGTTCCATGAAACACAATTTATCAAATGTTGAGTATCGTTTTGTACCATTCTATAGTTAAAGGAACCGAGACACAGAGGAGTCAAGGGATTTGCCTAGAATGTGGCAACTCACACAAAGTTGCCGTGGTCCAGGACTGAGTCTAGAGACGTATCATCACACATCTTTTCCTGTGGATGGTTTGAGGATGCTCAAGACCAGGCAGTGCAGGCTTTTTGATTCAACCTTTGCAAAATCTTTCCCTCCATTAATACTGTCAAGGTTAATACACTCCTGGACATTTTTTCTCTCTTGAACTCATTCCAAAATCTCATGATAACAGCCACTCTGTTACCTATTAAGTGTAGGATGATAGAGAACCTGATGAAACTTTACATTCCATTTGAGAATCACTTCTTGAGTCTACTTCCTTTTAAGCTCAGATTTCTCATTTTCTCTCTCTGATGACATTACCCTGTTTCCTTATGTAGCTCCCATTACCTCCCAGGTGAGTTTTTCAGTGCCATTTATCATTTGTTTAGTGACGAGGTGAAATCCAAATAGTACTGCTGAAGTGAGTATTTTTGCAAGGGTGTTGATCCTTGCTAAAACATTCTTCTCTTCTGTGTGTGTGTGTGTGTGTGTGTGTGTGTGTGTGTGTGTGTATGTATTTTAATTACCACCAGTGGCTCTAACTTGGACTTGTTTTGATTATTACTCAGAAAGTAAGGAACCCTGCTCATATCTTTGTCAAGACTTTCACAAGGAATTCTTAATTTTCCTTGTCTCAGAACACAGAAATTGACTTCCATTAGTCTTTTTTCAGAGGTAAATGTCGTATTATTTTTGTCCTGTTAATTCCTTTGGGGACTTTTTATTATTCTTCTGCATGAAAGATGTTAAATTTTTAAAGAGGTCTCAACAGAGAAAGTCACCTGTTAATTTTGCCACATAGGAAGCTCTGAATTCACATTTGATTTAGTGTTTATTTTTAAATTATTATTTTCCTTAAGTTCTTTCTTCCAAATGTCTGGATATAATGACCTCAGAGCCTAGAATTGGGACTTTGAACATCAGGTTTAAGTGCATTTAATCATGACTTGCTGTGTAACCACAGGCAAGTTAATCGGCCTCTCAAAACTACATTTCCTTAACTACAAAAAATGGGAATAGCAATATCTAGCTCTCTGATTGCATATACAACCATTATATTAATACATGGAAACTCTAGTATAATAAGTGGCATTTTGTGGGTGCTCATTAAAGATTTCCTGACTCCAAATTTAGAGTGTTGATTGCTTATAACCGTTTCAGTCTGTATACACTCTTGATTTTACTTGAATCTCACACGAGGGTGGTGGCTGGTGGGCAGGGTCCTGTGTCTCAGCTGGAGGGTAAGTGAAAGAGCAGCTAATGACTATCCAATAAGACTCATCAATGAAACTAACCAAGCCACACCAGATCTCAGTGGGAATTTTCCCCAAGTTGAATTGTTGGCTACAATTTGGGCTTATCATCTGTCAAATATGTTTTCCTGCATTACTTGCAATATGGTTTTTTAATGTATATAGTATCTTTTTAGTTTTCCTTTAGGACACATAATGAAACTCATCTTAACTAAATTAGCTCTATTTGTGCTTGTTCCTTTTTCCCTTTCCAAAATTTAAGCATTAAATTATAAGGCAACAGGTCAAGGAAAGAAAAAAGGGCAGGCACAAGAAATAGAGAAATAGAGAAATAGGCTGATGTCAAGGGTCCTGCTCTCAGCCCTGCCCTTCAGGACCTTTTGGGAAATACTAAGGCCCATGAGTGCAGGAGGTTATGATGTATTGATGTGGCAAAAAATAGTTAAGCATTTAGTGTACATACATCTCAAATTATGAGGGTAGGGATTTTGAAGAAAGAGAAGAGGAAATTTCTGCTCTTTAAAATCCTAAGATGCAAAGTACTGTGCAAAGGAAAACATTATCTTATTTTTAGAGGAATTAACATATAAAGCATGTATATAATGAAAGATAATAGAAACTGCCCTGTGTGGTGAAATAATCTTAAAGGTCATTATTTAATGCAAAAGCATCATCTGTTTCTGGGGTCAAGCTCAAAAGTTAAAAAGATTATCAGTATTCACAGATAATTCCTGACTACCCCAGATTTATTTTAATAGGAAAAGAAACTTCATTTACTTTTATCCATGCCTGGGAATCTCTACGCACAATAAGTAGCTACAGTTTCCAGAGTGCCCTGCTATCTTTGCATTCTGTTTCTTAATGATCATTTCAATTGGTTTCTGAATTAAAGAGCCATTCTCTTAAAAACAGTCACCACAAGGGACCTTGGTCTGGCATCCTTGTTATGTTGCAAGTCAGAATTGTGAGGACCAGGTGGGTTAATGACATGAGCTGCAATCCCCACAAATAATTCTTCTACTTTATCTACCAGAAAAACTCAGGAGAGTGCCTGAGTTCAGCAGAGAGTAGGCAATTATTGATGGGAACTTTACTGCAGAGCTAATCAAATATCAATCTTGGCTGTCCTGAAATTGATTCTGAAGGCAAAGAAAGGCTTTGTCACTGAAATGCAAGATTTGCAGAAAAAAATTCTCTCTTATCAATCCACATTTCCTGCTTTAGACCCTACAAATAGAAAATATTTTTGAAGGTTTTCTCACTGAAAACATATTTAAGTGATTACTGTGTGCAAGAGGAGTAAATGGTCATCCTCACAGCAACTATCTGAATAGTGTTCTATCATTTATCAAACACTTGCCTAGTTATTATATCATTTGATCCCTACAACAAACCAATAAGAAAGGTGAAGTGAATATTTTAAATCTTATTTTACAAAAGAGCAAATTGACAATGGCAGAGAAAACTGGCCGCCTGCCAAATCCATTCTTCTATTTAGTGAATACATCTTGATTTTTTGCCCTACTAAAAGAATGTTTCCCAGCCTCCTCTGAGGGTAGGTGTGGCCTATTATAGCTTTTACCAATGAGATATGAACTAAAGTGTTCCAAGTGACTTCTTGGAAATCTGCTTAAAGATAAGAGATATGCCATTTCTTTGGTTTGCTTTTCCCTTCATCCAGTTTTCTAGATCAGAGAAGTGATGACTGGAACATGGCAGGCACTGTGAGGACAAGGGCCACTTCATAGTAATAATGGAGTTGTAAGCTAGGAGGCATCTTGGTCTTTAAGAACTTTCTGGAGCCATCAGACATAGCAGCCTTAAACTGACCGCCTCTGTGCTTCTTTTATATGAGAGAAAAATTCATCCCTATCTTATGTTAGTTATTACTATTTTAAGTTGGTTTTATGCAGCTGAACCTAATCCTAATGCAAAGAAGTAACTTGCCTGACTTTATACAAACTCTATAGTTTGTAAGTGGCAGAACATCAAGTGCTAACATGCATGTCCATATTTCACACTCTGTCTCTGGCAGAATTTCAGAACCTTTTATAAGCTGCTTTTTAGTTTGTAAAGGAGCCAAGTCCTTCCTTTTTTTTTTTTTTTTTTTAAACACTTGAACACTCATGCAAAAGTAGCTGATCCCCAGGGAGGCTTCCTCCCTTTCCTCTTCCTCTAGAGTACTTTTGTACCTCTCAGGCTTTGAGTTAAATTATGGAATTTCCCATGGTTCAGTTCTCCCTAGACCATTTCATTTGTACCTATGGCTCTAACTACCATTGATAATCTTAATATTTTTAAATTTATATTTCCAGCCCAGAAGGCTCTTCTCATTGACACAGTTCTTACTAGCTGTGTAACACCAGCCAAGTTTTTAACTTCTCTGGGTCTTAAGTTACCACATCTGAAATATGGGGATAATAACAGCATCTGCTTCATGGGTTATTGTGAGAATTATATTATTTCATACAAAATAATATTTGGAAAAATATCTGAATTACTACTAGTCTCATCATGACTCTGCATCTCCAAATAACATTTCATAGGCACCTCATCTTCACTTTATCTAAAGTGAGTTATTCTTACCCTTAACTGGATCATTCTTCAGTAATGGCAATGCCAGTGATGTAATTGCTCAGAGAGAAACCAACGAGTTGTCCTTGATACCACCTTTTCCCTTATGGCCACCAGCTCTAACTCATCATCAAAACTGGTCAAAGGTAACTCTTAACTATTTGCCAACTCTTCCCACTTCTCTCTTCATGTAGACCAGTTATCCATATCATCAGTTTCTGTGTTCTGACTTTTGTTACTTGCCCTCAAGTCTTCCACACAGCAGCCAGGAACATCTCTTCTAAAGATGAATCAAAGCATGCCATGGTTCCTCTATGAATCCCCCAATGGGTCCTCCTTGCTCTTAACGCCCTGGAGTCTGCCCATCAGCTTAGAAGGACATGTTCTGTCCCATCTCCAATCACTCACTGGCTCCAATTCTACTCCTCACTCTAGTCTTCAAACACAAGAAACCCATCATTTCTGCCTCAAGGCCATTCGGTCTGCCTGGCTAATTAATTAGCCAGTCACTGATGCATGCTAGTTTCCTCTGTAAAAGACAATGCTGCACCCTTATCTGTCCATCTTCCTTTTTAATATAACCCAGACTGTGCTCCAACACTTAGCTTCTTCACCAGACCATGAGCTTCCTAGAGGTTGATCCCACCCAAGCTCTAGTGGGTGGATCTCTGGTTAGGGATTGGTTAACAGGTAGGTTAATGGGGAGTTTGGGGGGGTGCCTGTAGGTAGTGAGGCTTCTAAGAATGGCTTTCTCACACTTAGAGAGAGATACCTATTCTGTATCTCTAAGTCCTACTTCTGCCTCTGATCACTATGGTGTCAGGATGTGAGGCCTGAACTATTGTAGCCACCTTGCAACTGGCCTGAGGATAGAGTCCTGAAGCAAAGGTGGGCAGAGCAGAGAATCATGGGGTAATCAGGCCTGGAGCCTGCCTCATTGATACATTTGCTATATAAGATAATAAATGACCTTACTTTTTGGGCCAAGATGCAGGAGAACTTCTGTGACAGCAGCCAAAATCATCCTAATTGATATGACCCTACCCTCCATGTTTGCTATGGAGGGCAAGGACCGTTTATGACACATAGGAAGTAACCAGTGATTATTTTTTGAATGGATAAATGAATGAATGTTTCTCAGAGAAAGGATAGGCTCTGGTTTCAGTATGTATATTTCCCATCTCCTGGAATATTCATGGTTAGGACAAACCACTGTAGTTAAGATTTATCCTTTATTTACTTACAGGCAGAGCCATGGCTGGAGGTAGGGCTGTGGAATAAGAGACAGCATCTACCTCCAAACCACAGGTAAGAAATACCATGTGGAGAATTTTCTCGCATGACAGGGTAAGATTAGAGGCTACCACGTTTCCTTAGAAATTTGTCTTGGTTGTAAGTTTATCTCGAGTTTGAACTGAGGCTGTTGTTTCAAGGTGACCATTGGCTTTTCACATGAGTTTGTCCCATATGCCACAAGAGGATTTGCTAATTTTGGTCATATTTGACATATTATTGAAGAGTGACATCACAACTTAAGCTCTATTTGTATTTAATACTGTAAAAAGATAATGACCCCTATGTTCAACCATGACAGATTGATTAAATGAACAACCATTTAATGCGTGTCTATGCAGCCATTAAAAATTATAAACAGCTCTCATTATTGACATGAAAAATTGCTATAGTTTGTTGCTTAGTTTTGCCAAATATTATGTATAATTCTATTTTTCTACAAGAATGGCTTACTTGCCTATCTTCATATCTATTTATGCATAGGGATAGGATTTGGAAGAAGAAACTCAGCTGACAGTGGTTCTATTTGGGTGATAAAGTTATAGACAATTTTAAGCTTCTCTATAATTTTCTTTTCTTCAGTCTTTTTTTTTTTGGAATGCGGGGGTGGATTTAATCCCATCACTGTCAGCGACTAGCCATATGCTAAGCCTCAGTAGCCACCTTTGTATAATAGAGAAAATATGAGAACCTATCTCTTAAATTGCTATGCGAAATGAATATATGTAAACATTTAGCAATGGAGTTAGCATGTGGTAGGCACTAATATTAGCTATATGAAAAGTATATATCATCATTGTAATATAAATATTACGTTTGTGTTTAAGCCTAACAAATCTACAGATGGTACTTAGTGGAAGTTGTGGTTGAATGTGCAGGGCATAAAGGAATGACTGATGACCTTGAATGTGACCTTTCCTCCCCAAGGCTATCACTGACGTATGTGCAATGCAGCATGTAAAAGCATGGCTTCAGCATGGAGAGTCATGAGTCCCATGACCTAAGGCAAATTTTGTCACTTTACAATGAGAATAATAATAGTTTCTTCATAGGGCTCTTGTATTTCAAAAGATAATGTACTTAAATACTGAACACAGTTCGTGGACATGGTTAAGTGCCCAGCAAATATTAGTATTATAATTCATCATAAAATAATACTTTAAGTATAATAAATTTTGCCTTGACATTCCACTAGTTTTATTTTTACCTAGAGAATTGCTTGCATTTTAAAATAAGGTTGTAGGAATTATTTAAACAGAAACTAGAACAATGCAGTAAAATGGGTTGTTAGGTTTAAAAAAAAATCATATAGAACTTTTCTGGAATATTTATATTTTGAAAAGATAAACCCCTACCTAAAAAATGGGAGGGGGGAATAAGGAGATTCTGAGAGGAGGGTATATAATAAAATAAGTTCAGGCTTAATTGGATGCCAAATTCATTTTTATCTGTTAGGATTTAATTTATGTGAAAATGGCAGTCTAATGAAAAATGGAAGTATTTATAGATTAATAACAACAGAGCCCATTAGCTGGTGTAATAAGACATATCTATGATTAATTTTTGTCTAGGGAATATAAAATAATTTGGGTTTTAATCTTATAGCTAAATTGACTAACAAAGCCAAGAGTAACTCAAATACATTCACAATATTATCATGCCAGGCACAAAGCAAACACCCCATGAATACTTTGAAGGCTTTAAGGCATTTATTTAAATAGAAATTGCCTGAGATCTGGTGTAGATCCACTAAGCAGAAAGAAATTAGACAACATGAAGTCAATATTTTCATAGGTCTTCTAACAGCATTTGATATTTGTTGAACTATCCTTCAAGAAACATTGAAAGTAATTTATCTATTTCCTGGCTTTTCACTACCAGAAAAGGACTTTTTCTGTGTGCCATTTATACTGCCTCAAATGCAAATACAATTGTTCACTTTGATACTTATAAAAATTAGTTGCATCTACAGGATTGAGCTGGTTCAAGAAAGATTCAATTCAGGAAGACGAGGCAGGCTAAGGAAATCTTTATTTGCAAATATAGAAGCCATAGTCAGAAAATTTAAGTCTGGCAAACAAGTCCTCTCTATAACACTCAGATAACAACCCAGCCCCAACCCTAATACCAGTAACAGGAATTTTTCTTTTAATTATCTGCAGAACTCAGCCACATGTCCACTGGGGGAGAAACAGTAGCTTTTCATCTTGAGCTCTTTCTCAGCTCTCTAAGAGAGTAATAACTGAACCTCCAAGATAAAATATGAGAGGAAGTGGTTTGGAGGGGAAAAATCTATATTAAGTACTTTAACAAAAGGTTTCTCCAACAAACTGCGTTTTATGAATTTAATTCAACAACCATTTATTGAGCATCTGCTCTGTGTGCAGCTTTGTGCATTAGAAAAAGAAAAGTCCTGGCCGGGCGTGGTGGCTCACGCCTGTAATCCCAGCACTTTGGGAGGCCGAGGCGGGCGGATCACGAGGTCAGGAGATCGAGATCATCCTGGCTAACACGGTGAAACTCCGTCTCTACTAAAAATACAAAAAATTAGCCAGGCGTGGTGGCGGGCGCCTGTAGTCCCAGCTACTCGGGAGGCTGAGGCAGGAGAATGGCGTGAACCCCAGGGGGCGGAGCCTGCAGTGAGCCGAGATCGCGCCACTGCACTCCAAGCATGGGCGACAGCGAGATTCCGTCTCAAAAAAAAAAAAGAAAAAAGAAAAAGTCCTGTCCTTCACAAGTACTCAAAATATTGTGGGACACACACTCATCTATTGGCTTAGACAAGACAACAATTTCAGATTTTCTTGAAGATAAGTTCATACGGAGGTTTTAAAATTATTTCTTAGGACCATTTTGCTTTATTATATTTGGTGTAAAGTATGAACAATTTTATTAAAAGTCATAAACTAGTTCTTTGTTTAGGGCACTCTATGGGACAGGAAGAAAGTAAGTCAGTTCTATCTTTATAGCACTGAGAAAGTTCTTTTCTAGAATAGTTCATACTATAAAAGTTGAAACAACTTTTATGCCAGCAGCCATGTTTGCATGAATTAAGCTTCAAAATTCTGACAGATTGAATCAATCCTGTATATAGCATTTTCCTTTCTGGTTCTCAGGCTGACCAGCTAGGATAAACGGCTTGAAATAAACAGCATTATACAGTTGCCTTAAATTCTTTTTTCTTTATCTAATTGCCAATAACTGCTAAGTATGGCTGTTTACCGAAGGAATCAATGATATAATGGTGCATTTTAACAGAGCATGGCCATATAAGACAACTTGTCCATAAAACAGGCAGTAATACTCTCATGTATAATAGTATGATGATAACCTGGTAGCTAGAATATGACAAGTGTATGCAGTCATTGCACAGTGAAAATGAAAAGTCACTTCAAACAGATGCATGTCTACAGTTTGGTTAGGGCTGGAAACAGGTACAGAGGGGAAAATAGTCTCATTTCATTCTTCCAAATCATAGCCCTGCCAAAAAGCAATGAGAAGAATTTTGTTGACATTAAAAATCTAAAGTTTAAATAAGAGAGTTTAAAGGCAATTTTGTGTAATTCCTAATTTTGGGGGGTCTGGCTGGCGTATTCTTCCTAGAGTTGCCTCCTTATATATGTAGTTGCAAGTTAGGATGAATGCCTTAGCACTCTGGAAAAACAATGAAATCATAAGAGTGGGGAAAGAGAAGTCACGTTCATTTTTACGACTTTCAGAAATAGAGGCAGAACTTTTTTTAATTTTACAAAATCGAGACTTCCTCTAACGGGAAATTTTGACCAAAACTAAAAATAACAACATAAAAGAATAACAAAACATCTCTCATATCACTGGGCACAGTAGCTCATACCGGTAATCCCAGCACTTTGGGAGGCCATGGTGAGTGGATTGTGTGAGTTCAAGACCAACCTGGGTAACATGGTGAGACCCTGTCTCTATAAAAAATAAAAATTAGGCAGGGCATGGTGGTTGCATGCCTATAGTCCTCGTGAGGCCGAGGCGGGAGGATCACCTAAGCTCAGAGTTCAAGGCTGCAGTGAGCTATGTTCGTGCCACTGCATTCCAGCCTGGCAACAGAGCTAGACCCCATGTCAAAAAAAAAAAAATCTTTCATAACATCTTCCATATTCTCAAACAATAAAAATTTTATGACAAAGTAAATATCGCATAAATATATAAGGCACAGGGATATCCTGTATGCACAAATAAAAAGAATCTAGAAAACACTGCTGTAAACATAGCAACAATAGGATTTATTCTACTGCATAATCATAATCATGAGCCCTCACAAGGACTAAGGGCTCAAAGCTAACAGATGCTTTGTCATTTGTTTATATAGGTCTTCTGCTACAGTAAAATGCTATAAAATAAAGTGGAGAAGAGAATAAAAGCACATTATTACATATAAACAGACTCTGAATAAAATAAATAAGCTGAACTTAACGTTTTAGGATAGCCAACATTTAAAATACTATGGGCCACAATTATTTTTCAAGGTACTGATATTCAGTATATAATGTGTCTCTTTAACAAATGGTAAATATAGAATAGACTAAGGAATGAGTTGGCAAAATTATTCACAGGCTATATAATATCTGAAATATATCTCCATGGGTAATTATTCTGCAGCATTAGGTAACATATTATATTCTAGAATTGCTTTTCCTGATGCTGAAATTTGGGTGTTTCATTACACTAGTAAATTCCATAAGGGTCAGAATAGTGATACAGAAAACTACATATGTTCTTACTGTAAATATTTTCAAGATAATTTAAATACTGACATCTTTCTCCACATCCTCTGTAAGTGACCATCTTAATACAGGTTAAACAGACATTTACATTTAGCACTTGGTGTCAATCCAGTAAGAAATGCAAACTTTGATTTCATTTTTCTTACTACTATTGTATTCCTTGGGCAAAGGTGAGTCAAAAAGAAAAGTGGCAATTTTTAATACTTGTTTTAAAGACATGAGTAATGTCAATCTTATTTTACAAATTAAATGCATCCTAAAAATAAATGAACTTGTTTCAGGGAATATAGCCAATGTGCCAGAATTTACCTGGAAAGGTGTCCTGCTAGACAGGTAGAACAATACCCCCCTCATGCACCTAAAAAGTCATCCCTTCCCAGCCACATGTAATGTGGCATATTACTAAAAACAATCAATGACCATGCTTTCATATGAGAAGAATCAGATCAAAAAATTGTATCACCCCTCATCTTAAAGTTTTAATAGAATTCGTTTCAATTAAACTAGTGGTAGACTTACATCACTCTTGGGATATAACCACATTCAATGTTGCTAACCAGTATGAAGTACATCAACTATTTGTCTAAGCAAAATTCACAAAGTCTAAAAGTGAATGGTGGCACAATAAACATATTCCAACTAAGTATTCCAGCTAAGTCCTAAAATAGACAAACACTGCATAGGGATGGTCACTCTATTTTCAAATTGAAAAAAATATCAGAATACATGGGGTTCCAATTACATTAGATCAGTGGGGCAGAATACCTAAAATTAAGACTATCCTGAGAAATCAGGCATATATTCCAATATGAATAAGTTATTATTGCTTGGATATGTTGGGACATAATGTCTCCAGGCACTGTTAAACATCAATCTACATCAGTGGTTCTGGACCAGGGGTAATCTTGCCTCCCATGAGACATTTGGCCAAATATCTGGGAATATTTTTGATTGTCACCACTGGGGTGGGGTGGGGGACATCTGCTACTGGCATCTAGTGAGTGGAGGCCAGGATACTGCTGAACATCCTGCAATGCACCAGACAGTCTTCCATAGTAAAGAATGATCTGGCCCAAAATGTCAATAGTGCTCAGGCTAATAAATCCTGCTGTCTGTATCCTCTGAACACATGATCCTAAAGAAACTAGACCTAGTTGAGTGAGTTCTGCTTTCACCTCTTCTATACATTACTGAATGATCATTGTCTCAGCACGTGAATGAGTGTTTGTAATGAGTATTCTCAAGGTGTAGAACAGAAACTATTCTTCAGTACCAACAGACAGCTGTTTCACATGTGTGATTTATCTTGTTTCAGCTATAATACAAACAGATCATTTTGAAAAGCAAATGCCTTGACTGGCTTTAACATTCCTAGTTTATGAGCAATGGATTCTACTTCAGGGAATCCCTAATTAACAAAGCCAAGCAATTAATTGATTCCAAACGTGAAAAACTAAACCGTTTATGTACACTGAATGCTAAAATCTCCCCCATCAGATTTCCTATTTAATTGAAATTCCACAAGACTTCTAAGTAATTTTTTTATGTTCTGCATTTTAATACTTTATTTTTCAACATCTTCTCTTCCTCCCCGTTAGCTATAATATATTGAGTGCTAAGTGACAGGAAACTCTGTGTAAGTTTCTTCACATGAATTTTATACTTATAACAATCCTCATTGGTAGGAACTACAGATATTTTCCTTATTATCCTTCAAACTCAAGAAATCTAGAGAAAACAAGTGCAAATAAAACGTCTGTTGCACTCACAAGCATGAATTCAGTGTGAATGCGTTTAATACAATGAAAATAAAGAAGGAAAAAAGGCCAGGAGTATAAAAATAATACTTGTAACCACAATAACAATAAAAGCCACCATTTATTCAGCACTTACTATATGCTAGGGTCAGTGCCAAGCACTTCACATTATCTCACTTAATCCTACCACCAACTCTAAACGTGGATGCTATCAGATTCACCATTTTACAGATGCAGAAACTGAGGCTTAGTCTGAGAAGGTCGCACAACTAGCAAGTGGCACATCTGGGGTCTGTGCCTGTTCTGTCTGTCACACTTGAGAGTCCACCAGGGGTGCACAAATCTGACCTTCAGTTCAAATCTGACCTGCTGCCTCTCCTTATAAATAAAGTTTTACTGGAACACAGCCATTCTTATTTACATATGCACTGCTTCTCACTGCATTTGCACTAGAACAGCAGAGTAGAGTCATTGCAACAGAGACCGTATGGTGAAAGCCTAAAATATTTACTATCTGACCCTTTACAGACAAAGTTTGCCAACACCTGTTGAAACTCTTCAATAATATGTAATGTCAACTCAACACTGTACTCCTAGCTACGTAGCTTCATTTCATGTCAGTATGCTCCTCCATCTATTTTTGTAGCCATCTTGAGAGCTAGTAATTACCTTCTCTTTGTATTTTGCCTGCTGAATGATGGCAGTACTATATGAGTGAAGCCCATTAAATTCTGCCGTCACTAGCCATGCCAAGCCCCACTCCTCCACACCTGTACTATAGCTTGCTCAGCCCCACATCATCTCAGCCCACTTCCAATCAATTCCCCATCCCTTCTGCACGGCTGATGCTGCGAGATGAATCCAATATGCCCTTTTCACCAAACCACTCCTCTGCTGAAGACTCTGCCGTTACTTTATGCAGGGCATCCCCTGAAGTCCAGACATTTCTGTCTACAATTTAACATTCTTTAATCTTACCTGATGTTCTTTCAAATTCATATCATTTTAATACAGTCTTGTAATTAAAAGAAACCTGGTTTCAAACTCTAACCCCAACACTTACTACCAGTGAGACTCAGGCATACTATCTAGTTCAACTGAGCCTCATTTTCCTTTTCTACCAAATTGAGATAAATAGTATCTATCCCGGGAAGATTAGATTAATTCTCATAATTGGCACATAATAAGTGAATAAGCAATGTTATTACTGCTAATATCCAAAAAGCCAGTACACCTACTCTTCCTTCCTTCCCTCTGCCAGTGTTCATGTTATTCCCCCCACTTAGCATTTCTCCCTTCCTCAATCTACTAATCCAAACCAGCCTCTTCATACAAAGCCTCCTCCTAGACACTAGTCCACACTGAACTCTTGCTTTGGTGAACTCACTCGTGGTCAGCAGTACCCACCTTGCTCCTTATTCAGTGGCTCTCAACTCAGGAGCAATCTTGTCTCCAAGGTGACATTTGGCAAGGTCTAGAGATACTTATGGTTGCCACAAATGGGAGGTGGGTGCTACTGGCATCTAGTGGGTAGAGTCCAGGCATGCTGCTAAACATCCTACAATGTACAGGACGCACCTGACACTCCCCAATAGTAAAGAATTATCCAGCATAAAATGTCAACAGTCCTCAGCCTGAAAAACGCTGACCCGAAATATTCCAGGCATTGCAATCACAAGGTCTCCAGAAGCATCAACCCTGCCCTATCATTCTGTCATACTGCCTGCTATGGAAAAGAGGAAGCTCCTGATTCCTGGATTGATTGAAGCAAAAGTATGATTGATATAATAATTTAATTTGCATTTATATCTCTGTTAACTAAAAATCACTGAATAAGTATGTCCAGCAACAGTGGAAACATTTCTTCTCAATTACTATGCTATAGTTTCAAGCTAATAGCTTCTGGTAGAAAAGAACAAATCACAAAGGAATCTCAGTGTGTGTTTCTTTATCTCTCACAAGTGGGAATGTAGTCAGTCAATACAGTACTTTCTATTGGAAGATTCTAACGCAGCACATTAATTTTCCTCTAGGACATTAGTCACCTGTGGCACTCTGCAAAACAAACAAACAAACAAAAAACAAGACATATGTGTGATAAAATGCATGTGGGTAAAGAAGCATCTATACCCTGTTCTTAGAGATTACCAATGCACATTTTCACACCAGGGGCTCTGAGACAAAAACATTTGCTTAACTTTGTTCCGCTCAGTTTTCCACCCTAGTGTGATCCATATATCAGGCCAGGCGCGTTGGCTCACACCTGTAATCCCAGCACTTTGGGAGGCCTAGACGGGTGGATCACCTGAGGTCAGGAGTTCGAGACCAGCCTGGCCAACATGGTGAAACCCCGTTTCTATTAAAAATACAAAAAATTAGCTGGGTGTGGTGGCGCATGCCTGTAATCCCAGGTGCTTGGGAGACTGAGGAAGGAGAATCGTTTGAACCCAGGAGGCAGAGGTTGCAGGGAGCCTAGATTGCACCACTGCACTCCAGCCTGGGTGGCAGAGTGAGACTCTGTCTCAAAAAAAAAATTCCACATATTATTGTTACCATCCTGTGCAGCAAGTGTTAGGTGGAACACATTTTGGAAAACATCTCATTGAAGTTGGCAAAAACCTCAACATTGAACCATAGAACTTGAATTATAGTTTCTCACAGTGTAATCAGAGCTGCTCTGGGACACTAAATAGCAAAGAAGCACAACATAGCCCCCTTAACTTGAGAAGTGTTGGTAGGAAGAGCACAGCTTCTGCTGGTTTCTGTTGCAGTAACATGGACCCGAGGACTAGCCAGACCACACTTCCCGTTGGCATAAAAGACAAATGAAGGAACTTGTCTTTTCTGCCTTATCACCTTGGACTGGATACAACAGTACTGACCTCAATATATTTAAACACTAGGCAGAAAATTATTATTTTCTCACAAGCAATAAGGCTAATTTAAACTTTTGCAGGACAAAGAAAGAAAAAACCCCAACAAATAGTGACTCTGAATATCCTTAAGCAAGCAAAGTAAGAGAGCATTTGCAAGAGACCAAAGGAGCAGGTACTCGGTACCCGGTACCCTCTTTCTCCCCACCCACTTCCCAACCAGTCCCTAATCCTCTCTAATCCCTTATATCCCTAAGTCATAGACCCAGCTGTTCATTTTTAAAATTCTGTGATACCTATGGATTTAGCTGTATTGCAGAGGACTGAATTCTGAAAAGGATCTGTACTTCCTAGAAACCTCAGCCCAACCACCTTTGCTTAAGACATGCAGACTTGTTATTATTTTTTTTATTTTTTATTTTTATTTTTATTTTTTTGACAGGGGACTGGCCATCAGCAAGGTACTCTGGTGTCTAGAGCAGCCTTCAGGACATTGATCTTTAGAGCTGGCCATTACTCTGTGACCTGCACAGTCTGAAGAGGTTTGGCTGGGCACGGGGTGAGGACATGCACACCCAGAAGCAATGTAGCAGCAACAACGCTGCCATCTGTTCCTCTAGCTCTAGGGCTCCCTCTGCGCTTTCACCTTGAGATGAAAGGGCTATCATCCTCCCACCCTGTGAATCACACATACATGCCTGTTTGGTCCTCCATTCTCCCACCCACCACCACCATGAACAGAGAGGAGAAGACGGGAAGAAAAGAGAAATCCGTCTCCTTCCTCCCTCTCTACAAGCCAGCACTATGGATATAAAAGCACAAGACTCCCTGTGTTTTTTGTTTGTGAAAAGTCTCCAGATACCTCCTACATATTTTCAAGACCCTCTGGAAAAAAAGCTTGACCCTCCTATACCTGGGCCCCGTTTGCAAGAAGGAAAACAGAGAATTTTAAAATATCACAGAATTTTAAAACACAGGGAGACTGAATGACCTGTCCGAGCCCAGTTGGTTTGGAGGCTACTGGAACTGAAACTTAAGAGCCTGATTCCCAGGGGCGCTCTGTTTTCCTAACCCTCTCCAGAGGCTGCTAATTCCTTCTCTCTGGTAAACACTGCCAGGAATTGCACTCTTAGATTTCTGCAATAAAAATAAGCCATACTTGCTTTCTAAAATCATGGTGGAAATTCTCCCAGTTAAATCTGACTGCGATTTAGGCTATGATATTTTCAAAGCAAATTTGTACCATTTTATTATGGCTAATTATGTATTTGGAGTTAGCAATGCACGCTGACCCATCTGTCATAATTATGGCTTAAAAGCAAAATGTCATTCCTGTCTGGTCCTCAACTCTTGTTTATAAAACCAGGGGTGCATTTTGGAACCATCAACAATGTTAAGAGGAGAGCACAGGGACTATACAACTGTTCCAACTTCATTCTGAGCAGTTGCTTTTTTTAAAGAGGTGATTATTCACGTTGGCATGAGATTAAACATTCTTCTGGAAATAATTTGAATCTAAAAATGTTATATTCCTACCAATTTCTATATGATGTAATGTAATTCTTTAGCCAATACATACATGTTTCCAAAACTAACTCTGCCCTAGGACATTCCATACACACCCATACACACAGACACACACACACACACACACACACACACACACACACACAAATAATATATGACTTATCTGGTTATGCCTGACTTACATCACAGGTTATTCTATTAGATGTCGTCTTCCTAGAATTAAATTTGGGGTATAATGTCCACTATTATGAGGTGATACTTATATTCTAGAGATGCAAGTGCCACCCTACAATACAGTGTATCTCATCTAAATGGAGGACAGCAGGGAACAACTTTTAAACTATAGTTCTGAAAAATTCCAGGACTCTGCGGCACTATGTCAGGGGAGGCCTGCCCATCTGGCCTAAACCAGAGCAATCTCCCTTTTATCTGGTTTGTATATGGGCGTCTTCCAAGATGCTTGTTAAGTTTTCTTTTTCCAAAGAATAACTCTTCTATTATATGTTTCTTTACTTTTTATTTCTTGACTATAGATACTCTTTTTTGCTTTTTGTTTTGTTTTTGAGACGGAGTGTTGCTCTGTCACCCAGGCTAGAGTGTAGTGGCACAATCTTGGCTCACTGCAGCCTCAACCTCCCCAGCTCAAGCAATCCTCCTACCTCAGCCTCCCAAGCAGCTGGGACTATAGGCACGCACCACCATGCCCGGCTAATTTTTGTATTTTTGTAGTGATGGTGTCTCACTATGTTGCCCAGGCTGGTCTTGAACTCCTGGGCTCAAGCAGTCTACCAGCTTGGGCCTGGCCTGATACTCCTTTTTGTATAAGTTCTCCTTCTTTTGCCCTCTAGAAAAACTAAAAAAATTAACCTAGGCATGCAGCCCAATGACTACTACACTTTTCAGGTATTCCAAGCCATTTCTAGTGTCTTACCACAGGAATCTGCATTGATATTCACAGATTCAACCTCAAAGACCTGGGACAAGGATGGGAGGGGTCCAGTAGCCCATCATTTCTACTCCCACGGCAAAGGGCATTTTCAGCTGCAGATATTAAAGCCTCTTCTTTTGTATTGAGTTTTACTTTGGGTAGTGGTGTTCCGACCACAGGCTGCTTAATAGTGCATGAATAATTCATATCATGACTAGTAGAAAACAGCCACATACTATTTGTTCTGGATATGAGCACATTAAGGCTTTGGGCAGGCAAAAAAGGTTCACTGTATCATTTTGAGGATGATGAGCTCCTGTCTGGTGGCCTGTTTGACTTTTCAGGGGGATGGTAAAGGGATGCATAAATCAGTGAGTTACTGAAATTTGCAGACGTGATTCTTGAAAATGTAGCAGATCAGCAATGTCCCTGCAGCCAAGATCTGCTTCTCTACACATCCTCTCATCATGTGGATTAGGTCAGCTCATCAGACCGGTGACAGTTTCCAAACATAAGTAAACACAATCTATAGTTTCCACTGGATATGTCAAACAAACAGTTGCCCATAAACAGACTTCAAGTCTTCCAAGAAAGAACCTAATTCTGGTAGATGTCCAGCCTGTCAGAGAGGGATGGTCCCTAATTGTGCAGCAGATTTCAGCCTTCAAGTTGTGCGAGGACATACTGGTGCCAAATCTTACTGAGAACACCTTCAGAATCAGCAACATCTCCCTATAATGCATCTCTCAATAATTCAAACTAATATGCAACTGAGTCTGGTAGGCTGTTATTCCCGTTTTTTTTTTTTTCTTTGAGACAGAGTCTCACTCTGTCACCCAGGCTGGAGTGCAGTGGCTCGATCTCAGCTCACTCCAACCTCTGCCTCCGGGATTCAAGTGATTCTCCAGCCTCAGCCTCCCAAGTAGCTGGAATTATAGGCAAGTGCCACCATGCCCGGCTAATTTTTGTATTTTTAGTAGAGACAGGGTTTTGCCATCCTGGCCAGGCTGGTCTCGAACTCCTGGCCTCAAGTAATCTGCCTGCTTCGGCCTCTCAAAGTGCTGGGATTACAGGCATGAGCCATTGTGCCCGACCCCATTTTTTTCTTTTACTTTCCATGGCCAGAAGAATTCCATTCACTTTTGCTTTCCCCTTCTGTTACTTGTTCCGCACTCTTTCTGCTCATAGACAGGGAGCAGTGCTACTGTTTCAAGGAGACTGCATCAAAAGAAGATGGTGCTTCACTACAGGTTGCTATTGTACTTGAAATAACCTCAGAACCGAGGTAAGGGGACAAGGGAAGCAGAATGTCACAGTCCTAAAAATGAGAACGAAAGAACGGGAACTTTTTCCCCCCAAGAGCCTCTGCTGAGGTTACAGCTTGTTTAGAAGAAAATTGTTTGATTTTATAATTACTTTTGTGGGTTGCAAAATAATTACCGTGGAGGCAAATCTCCATGTGCCAAAATAGCAGAGGCAATTGTTCTAAAGTTCACATTGAAACAATAACAGAGTCAAGATGATTAACTCTTAGGTGGGGATTAGAAAAGTCATCCCTCTTTGTAACATGTGCCAGCCTGAAGCCCACATAAAGGTCAGGGTGGGAGTGGGAACACTAAAGATACTCCACAAACTGAATTCAGATCAGTTATTTCTTTGTAGGCTGATTTTCATTTTAAACCTGTGCCTCTGAGTATCCCACAACATCAAATAGCTTTTGAAAAGACCAACACTGCAATTCAGGTGAACGACACAGATATGTAATTGGACACTGGATAATCTACAGGGTCATTTTCAATTCTAAAATCAGACTATGATGCTAAAATGGTCAGGAGTGGTACTTTATTTTTATTATTATTATTATTATTATTTTGAGACAGGATCTCCCTCTATGGCCCAGCCTGGAGTGCAGTGGTGTGATCTCAGCTCACTGCAACTTTTGCCTCCTGGGCTCAGGTGATCCTCCCACCTCAGTCACCCAAGTAGCTGGGATTCCAGGCATGCACCACCACACCTGGCTAATTTTAGTACTTTTTGTAGAGACGGGGTTTCGCCATGTTGCCCAGGCTGGTCTCGAATTCCTGGGCTCAAGCGATCCACCCATCTCAGCCTCCCAAGGTGCTGGATTACAGGTGTGAGCCACCGCACCCAGACAGGAGAGATACTTTCTATTTACAGCAACTTTGATGTCACCAGGAGTTGGCAAAGTTTTTTTTTTTTTTTAAGGCCAGAGAATAAATATCTTAAGCTTCGAGAGTCTCTGTGACAACTTAGTCTCTGTGACAACTTAAGTCTGCAGTTGTAACTTGAAAGGTGCCATAGACAGTGTGCAAGCAATTGTGCATGGTTGTTTCCCAATAAGCCTGTATTTACAGACACTAAAATCTGAATTTCGTATAAGTATCTTGTGTCATGAATTATTCTCCTTCTTTTGATTTTTCTCCAGCCATTTAAAATAGCAAACAACATTCTCAACCTACAAACATAGGCAGAGGGCCCATGGGCCATAGTTTACTAACCCCTGATCTAGATAGGTTTTAGGCACCTCCAGCAGAATGGAAGTAAATTCATTTTACAGGTGGAAGAAACTTAAAAGCAGGTAGAGGCGTCGGAGGTCCCCTCGGCCTCCTCATTCTAACCAAACACCCTCTTCATCAGATAATTTCCACTTCAACTTTTCAATGAATTGACGGTTTGCTTTGGGTGTTCATCTTTGCCCAAATTTCCCTGAATGATCATATTCACATTTAATTAATTGCTTTAAGAAGTTAAACTTAATTGGCCAAAATAAACAGTCACTCCTCAGAGGTTCAGTAAAGTGTGAATCTCCAGGCAGCTGAAAGTGGCTTGATTGCCCGAAGGTGGGAGCCAGAACCGGACAGACAGCTCAGCTGCAGCAGCATGGGCAGGTGACATTTAGGAAGCCATGAGCTACTCTGACTCTCTGACCCTCTTCTCTTAAATGGTCACAAGAGTAATTCCAGCTGTAAAAGGTTGTTCTGATGACCACAAGGAAATAAGATACACAAGCTATAAAGTGTAATATAAATACATTTATGTAAGGTGTCTAAAATCACTAGTTTTCTTAAGTGGACTGAGTTAACTCTTTTTCTTGACCACCAACTCAGTCAGTTAGAACCTTCTGACTTTCTTTCTTAAAAGTCCTGCAGGGTGGCTATCATCCATAACAGATAATAACAAATGTCAGAAAAATTGCAGAGAAACTGAACTTTTATATACTATTCATTGCTGGGGGGATGTAAAATGGGGCAGCCAGTTTGGAAAAGAGTCTGGCAGACCCTCAAATGGTTAAACATGGAGTTACAATGCAATCTAGCAATTCTACTCCCAGGTACATACATAAGAGAGATGAAAACCTGTGTCCATGCTAAAGCTCGCGCATGAATGTTTATAGTGGCATGTTCAGCAAAGCCAAAGAGTGGAAACAACCCAAATGTCTATCAACAGATGAATGGGTGAATACATGTGATATATCCATACAATGAAATATTACTCAGCCATAAAAAGCAATGAAATTCTGATACATGCTACAGCATGAATACATTTTGAAAACACTGTGCTAAGTGAAAGAAGCCATATATTGCATGGCTACCATATATAAGGTACCATATATTGCATGGTTCCATTTATGTGAAATGTCCAGAATAGGGAAACCTATAGATTAGTGGCTGCCTGGGATTTGGGGATGGGGTGTAGGGAATGGAATAATGAATGGATAGGTTAAGGGGAACAGAGTTGCTTTTTAGGTGTAAGGAAAATGTTCTAAAATTGATTGTGGTGATGGATGACAATTCTATGACTTAAACACTATTAAATTACATACCTTAAATTAGTGAACTCTGTGGTGCGTGAATTATATCTCAATAAAAATGCTTTTTAAAAAATCCTCCAGGAAATACTACAACCCGTCATGGAGCAAGTCCCAGCTCCTTAGTGTGGTATCCCAGGCCCTTGGTATGTGGCCTCTGTCCATCTCCCCAGGTGCCCTTCTCACCATCCCCCAGCCACATCACACCACTGTCCTTACAGCCACTGTAATAAAGGGACACACATTCATCGACTAGATCCATAATAAACGAACATGTACATTCATGTACTGAACATATCTTAAGTGGATAATACCTGTGCACCGTTCTCAGCACTAGAAACATAGCAGTCATGAGGAGATAGGACAGACCCTCGCTGGAAGAGCAGCATTCAATGCCCTCCTCTGGCCTCTTGACCTTTCTCTACCCTTGGTCTTTGTCCTGCTTCCAGTGACTCTTTCCTTCAGGTATCTGCCAGCCCAACCCTATTCATCCTACTCAATTCAGCCCAAGTACCATCTTGTCCTACATGACCTGCTGGCCTTCACCCCCAGGGAGGAGATGGGTTCCCCACCTACGTGTCCATGACATCCTGAGTCTGCCTGTCACAGCAACGTCCCTCGCTGGACTGTTTCTCTCAGAGCAGGAACTCATTCTTTACCTCTCTACTCACACGTAAGTTCACTGTAGGCATCAATGCTTGATACATGAATAAACAAATGACCATGTTCTATCCTTCCTCTGGACTTGGGTATAAAAATAATACAACACTAAAAACAATCATCATATAACTTCTCTTGAATGGTCTACTGCTAACCTTCTGGCTGATTTTTTCCCCTGGGCTGAAAATCTCTATAATTCACTTCTTCTTTTCCAAACCAACAACTGGATTCTTGTTTAGTTCCTGGTTCTATTGCAACTTTTGCCTCCTTGGACTTACCTTTTCTCCCTTACAGCCTGTGGGGTGAAGTAAGGTCTCCTGTGCCCCTCTCTCTGGCTACCTGGCCTTCAACAAACTCACCTTTATCTCTTGGCTTTCAGCTCAGCTGTCCCCCTGGCACAGGTAGCCTGTCCACCAGCAGTACCACATTGAACATCATCAATGGTGGCTCCTAACTGGCTCAATGGACTACCACCCTTCAGGCTTTTAGACACTTCTAGAAGGCCCCAAAGCCCAGTCAAGTCCAAAAAGTTCTCACCATTCATATATAAGTTAGTGAACCGAAGAAATTGAAGTTTAGGGCTAGGAAACAAGTACTGATCCTTTCACCCACCCCCATTAAAGTTTTATGGATATATTTTATCTATTACCTTTTTCAATGTGAGTGTTTTTATCTCCTTTAGACAAATGAGGATATTTCAAGCTATAGATTTCACAAATTGTTTAAATATGTCTTCTCCTAAACTAAGTGACTATTTACAGATGTCTGTAAAGTGTCAGAGCAATATTAGAACAAAAGGGGAAATTATTAGTAAAATTATATATGAGCTCAAAGTTATGTTAAAAATAAGGCAAGCTGACTTTGAATTGCTGGTGATTGAAAGTGTATTATTGGACATACTCTGAGCCTGAAACAGATATTGCAGAATCTTGGTCTTTTGGCTGTTCAAGGTCGTTAAACATCCTTTGTTGAGCTATGAGCAGCATGGAGCTGGGTCCTTGTCTTGTCTGGTCCTTGCCTAGGCACTAACAGCAACAGCATCGTAAAAACTCACTCAAATTTGCTTTAACATAATACAAGAGTAGGGGAATCTGAGTGATATGTCTATGGGAATTAATTATCCTATTATGTCTACTTTTGCATATGTGTACAATTTTTCATAATAAACTTTTTTTAAAGGGCATCTTGGGCCAGGCACTGCGGCTCACGCTTGTAATCCCAGCACTTTGGGAGGCTGAGGTGGGTGGACTGCTTGAGCCCAGGAGTTCAAGATCAGCCTGAGCAATGTGGGGGAAATCCTGTCTCTACAAAAAGAAAAAGAAAAAATATATATATATATATATATATTTCAACTGTAAAAGTTTAAAATATATGTATATATATACACAAATTAGCTAGATGTGACGGTACATGCCTATAGTCCCAGATACCAGGTGGGAGGATAGCCTGAACCATGATTTTGCCTCTGCACTCCAGCCTGGGCAACAGAGTGAGACCCTATCTCAAATAAATAAGTAAATAAATAAATAAACAAACAGATAGATGAGTTGGTCACATCGCCTCTGCTTAAAAACCCTGTGCCATCTTTGGTACTTGCAATCTGAATTCCTTTGGAAGTGGATGCAATCTGAACTGCTTCTGAAACTGAAAGAGGCTTTTCCTGACCTTCCTTCTCTTGCCCAAGGTGGAACCTACCACTCTGTCCTCAGTCTGACCCTTACCTTATTTGTCTTGTTAGAAATATATGTTTAAATATAGAGAAGAAGTGGGTGCTCTCATCTTGGACTCAATCCAAGGAAGTTTAATTACAGAAGAGGCAGAGCAGCACAGTATAGCAGGGGGAAAGGCCCAAGGCAAAACTGGACTTGGGGGGTAACAATACAAACGCTAGCAATCGCAGCTAATATTTCTCAAGCACTTTCTCTTGCAAGGCGCCATGCTAAATGCTTTGTACCAAATATCTCATTGAATCCCCACAACTAATATAGTAATATTCCCAAATCACCCAGCCAGCAAGCAGAGGAGACACTGAAAACAGGCAGTACGTTTCCAGAATTCAGCTGTGAACCCCAATTGAAAACTGCTTCCCTCTTCAAGGACAGGTTCTGTTAGCAGCCCTGACACCAAATGGTGGTTCGACCTCGGTAGACTGCTCACTTAATCCTTATGCATCTTCATTTTCTCACCTGCAAAATGAGGGATGTGATCCACAGGAACTCACAGGGCATTCTCTCCTAAAAGGCTGTCTCAATGGATGAACTCTACAGTCAGTACAGCAGAGAATTAGTATGACAAATTGTTATTCCTAAAGTTCACATTGGAATCCATTAGAAAATATGCTAAATGTTTCTAATCCCTAAAACAAAACTTGGGAAAACATCTAGCAAGTCCATGGATTAGTAAATTTCTATATAAATGTTTAAAAAATAGGAATCATATATAGTAAAATGAAGACAACTGTGATCTACTGATAAATTACATGTAAAAGGCACTGACAAGCAGTTGCAATCAATACGTCTTGTTTCTAAATCCATCATTTTATTACTTTTTAAGTGTCATTACAAAATAAGACTGAGAGGCTTCAAGATATTTTTAAAAACTGTTAAAATATTTTATTTCTATTGAAATTACATCTTAATACATAATTATTAAATATATTATAATTCCTAAAATTATTCTTCACTATTAATGGACTCAAAAGGAGTTCAAATGCACACAGAAATGTGTATGAAATTAAATACAGAAAATACTTCACTTTCTAGATTTTCTCTAAATTTGATTTTTAACTATTTGTAAATTAAATCATATGCTCCTATTAACTTTTAATATAAGTTCAGCGATGACTTAGCTGTGTTTCTTATGGCTTTATGACGTCCATAACTTCTAATCTACCTGGTTGTAAATTACTCTCCCTCTATCCCCACTAAAGTCAGCCTCTCTATCAAGTAGGTAAGGAGGGAAAAAACAATTAAATGCAGCAGAAAATTCTGCAATTCCTTCTCATTCTTTACCATAATAAACCGAGCTTATTGAGACTGCACATGTATACATCACACACACACACACAGATATAAACAGACACCACAATACCTAATGTTCCACATTCAGTGTAGGTGGCAGAGATAAATGGCCATTAAAAAAATCAACTTGATGGTAGGTACAGTGGAAAGTGTCTTGGTTGTTGTTGATGCATTTTTTTTTTTTTTTTTTTTTTTGAGACAGAGTCTCACTTCTTCACCCAGGCTGGAGTGCAATGGCGCAATCTTGGCTCACTGCAACCTCCACCTCCTGGGTTCAAGCAATTCTCCTGCCTCAGCCTCCCCAGTAGCTGGGATTACAGGTATGTGCCACCATGCTGGCTAATTTTTGTATTTTTAGTAGAGACAGGGTTTCATCCTGTGGGCCATGCTGGTCTCAAACTCTTGACCTCAAGTGATCCACAGGCTTTGGCCTCCCAAAGTGCTGGGATTACAGGCGTGAGCCACCGCGCCCAGCCGCATCTTGGTTTTAAAGTGAAACAGATGAGGGTGTGAGTCTTTGTTTTCCCCTGTATTTACTCTGTGGCTTTCCTATGTAAGCTTGTTTCCTCACCTGAAAATAGCTTTAGTATTGAACCAAAACAGCAAAGACGGAAGGAAACAAAAACTGTCTTTGGCCATTAATGGTGAATTGTGTTCTATGGTTTCTTAACAATACAGAATTACTTAAAATAAGTTTAGCAAAACATCTTTAATACTAGTTAGTAGATACCAGGAAAAAAAAAAAAAACTCTTGAGTAAAAAGATAATTGCTAAAATGTAATTTCACCTTTTATGTACCTCTCAATAACCAGACATATTTTATCCTTTAAAGTTTATTCTTTATAGATTGTCTTTAAACTGCAAGTTATTAAAATATGCTTTAAATAACTATTTCATATGCAAAGAAATTAAGTGTGAAAGAAACTCAGTGAACAATACCTTTGTAAAATTTCATCTGTGTAAAATTTCTAGAAGGGCTTTCAAGTTGTATCAGAATTTTCTGTGGGTGCCACCAAGTGGCCTCTTCGGTGATGAATGAGGAACCAGGCACACTTCTGGTACTGGACATAATACAGGTGTGCCTCACCTTAAGAAGCACCTTCCTCTATAGAGCCTGAACAAACAGGACATCGGGGAAATCTGTTTGGCTCATTATGATCTTGAGCATACAAATGTTTTAAAATAGCTGGTGCTCCTGGCATGTAGAAAATATGACTCAAATTGCAAATCGCTTCCAGAGAATTTATCTAAAAGAACATCCACTCCCTACAGACTATCATGGGAGGGCAATCTTGCCCAAAGTGAAATTTTATTGGAACTTCCACAGTGGGCAGTGCTGCTTTGGTTTCTGGCAGTAAAAGAAGAAGGGTTAAACTCCTGACCTCACTCCATTTTGGTGATTAAATGAGTGCACCACACAATAGATTGGCAGGATTAGCAGCATGAAATTAGGCAAAAATTAGGCACTATAACATTCGGTCTCCCCTATTTAAGAATCCTTTGAGGGTAAATAATCCTATCAGGTGATATGTGAGCATCCATACATAGCTTTTTGGAAGTGTGTGAGGCTGTGGAGATGACGCACGTTTCAAGAAGAACTGTGTGCTGTAGGTTAAAATACATACCTGTCTCCATTGACGGGGTATACCGCATTTACCAGTGACAGCACTCATAATGACATTTGTAAACACACATCCTTGAATATGGACATATACCTTTCCTCACTGCAGCAGCATTTACAGACACTAATTTAAATAAACTCCCAGTGTTGTGGAAGCAGCCCATCTGGGCAGCAATTCAGTCAAGAGAGCAACTGACATTTAATAACCATTTTAGCCTGCATCTCAAGCTCTGTTGCGTTACATGGGAAAGGTCTGGCTTTGGGTCATCTGATTAATCCATTTGTATTCCATAGGTCTCGATGTTATCAGCTGATGTAGTAACCAACACATGTCAGTCAGTGTGTGCTTCTCAGAAACGTATATCCCCCCTACACCTAATAGCAGGGGCGTTCATGTGTTTTGTGTGTGCGCCTTCCTCCAGTGCCGTCCCAGTTTTCCTCTTGGATGCCTGGTGGTGTCCTGCACAACCTCTCTTGCAGTTTAATCAAAGAAAACGATAATGACGCTAGCAGGACTCTAATTTTGAAAAGACATTAGCCAAGCCAGAGTCATTTCATTACTCTGCACTTCAGAGGCCGACTAAGAACGGGAGGGATCCTAAGTAATGTTTGTTCTTCCAAAAGGAACAGCAAAACCTGCCTAGCTGATAGGAAAATCTGCCTGCCCAAGCAGGTGTGCGTGTCAGGCATGGAGACGAGCTTCAGGTCGGCCGGTAGCTAAGGCTTTCAATGTAAAATCTGCTGCCTAAAACTTTTCCATGACCTCCAGCGGCCCTGCAGAGCCTGTTCGGTGAGCTGCTCGGGAACCGCCTGGAGGGTCGCGCAAATGCACAGCCACACAGGGGCGTCCACAGCTGCAGAGGCTTCTGCCTGGTCCGCGCCGGCGGTCCCTCGCTCTGGGCTCCTCCTGCCCAGAGTCGCTGGCAGCCCGGCACGCCTTCACTGCTCTACTTCAGATTAGACTGCGGGAGCTCTGGCTCGCACACGCCCAGGCTCACCTGGAAGATGCGGCTGCGCGCCCCCTCCCCCACCTCTCCACATTTTGGTCTTTGGGCATCATTCCAGCAGGGACCAGCAGCGGCACTCCAAAAATCACAGCCATGTTTTACTCTAAACAGGCGTCATTCAACAACTCCACAAGTCTCTAGGGCTCTGGGCGCCGCAGCCAAACCGCCTCTCCAAACTGATGCCACCCGAAGGAAGCCCATGTCCGTAACGCAGTCCAGCAAACCCTGTATCCCATCATAATAGGAGGACGGGGCAACAGTTAAGAAGCCCATGGAAGGAAAAAGCAGGAGTCAGCGCTTTTGCTACCGACAAATCCCCTAAGCCTCGGCTTCCCAAATGAAAATCCCAGACTTGCTCTTTTAACTGTTTCAAAACCCTCATTTTGGGGACCATATACGTCAATGGGATGTGCAGGGTTGCGAGCCCGGGTTGGGCTGTGGGTGGCACTCTGCAAAGTGCCCGGCGGGCGGCTGTCATGTCTGGGTGGAGTGCGGATGTCCCCGCAGTTTTCCAGGCGACAGACGCCGGCGGTGCCCCCAAACTGAGACAGCCCGAGCCACCTCCCCGCCTCCCGCGCTCGCCGCCGCCGCCCCGACGGGCCCCGGCACTCACCGTCCCGGGCGTCCTCCCCCCGACTGCAGTTGCTGCAAATGTGTTTGATCTCCTTGCCTAGTTGACAGTGGATCACAAAGGACACGTTGTTGTTGTTGTTGGGGGCGGGCTCCTTCAGGGGCTTCATCCTCAGCAAATAAAAAGCTTTCTTTTTGGGTTTCTCGGCGCTCGCGCCTGGCACCGCGCCCTCCCTGCAGCGCGGCGAACGGAGCGCAAACCTCCCCGGCTTCGCTGAGCGCGTGGGCTCCGCCATCCGGCCCCCGGGCGCCCGGGGCCGGGCGCTGCTCCGGCCCCCGCGCGCTGCCACTCGCGCCCCTCGGCCTCGCCAGCATGCCCCCGCCCCGCCCGCGCCGGCCGCTCTATATAAGCACCGCCGCGGCGGGGCGGGTCGGGGAGGGCGCCGAAAGGGTCTTGACCTCGCCGACCTCGCTGCCCCAGCCAATCCGGATCCCGAAGCCGGAGGAGGGGGTAGGCAGGGCGCTCCTGGGTCCTACCTGAGAAGCTCCACTCCCACCTCTCTCGGGGTCTCACGTGCACATCCTCCTCTGGCAGCCCCACCCCTCCGGAAATCTCAGCACCAGCTACTGAGAGCCTGCTGGGTTTGAAGCTACCTTCACTCTCAAGAGCTCCAGGGCGGAACGCCAACCCCCTCCCCCTTTTCTTCACGCCTAAAGCTGCCGAATGAAAGCAAAATGTTTCACACGGAAAGCGCTGCACTGGGAAACCTCGGGTGCAAGCTCCCCTCCAGGGCCACAGCAAATTACCCTCTCCGGCGGGTCCAACCCGTAGCCCTTGACTTTCACTGGAGCAGACAACCTGTTACAACATAATTGATGTTTTCACCTCCCATAGAAATTCTCCGACCCGAAGGAGATTGTTTAACGCCAGGGTCATTAAAAAGGAAAAGAAAACGCTGATTTTATCAAAACTCAGAAACAATTTGCGACTTTGGGATTGTCAGCTAATTTGGCCAAATAACTCTCCAGCTGTTTTAGCACAGTGACTAAGGCTTAGCAAAGCGAGTGACATCTACCAGGATTTCCAAAGGGAGAACAGGGTCTTTTCTTTAAAAAACAAAACAAAACAAAACAAAAAATTGTTTTTAGAGATGGGCTGTCACTCTATCGCTAGAGTGTTGTGGCACAATCACAATTCACTGCAGCCTCGAACTCCCGGGCCCAAGCGATCCTCCTGCCTCAGTTTCCTGAGTAGCTGGCATTGCAGGGAGAACAGTGCCTTTAACAAACCATGCAGAACAAATCAAAGCTCAATAACTTGTAATTATTATTCTTCAGCCATGGATTTGCCTTATTAAAATCATGCTATTTCTAATAAACCACCAATTCACACAACAATCCCAAGACTCAGATATCGCCAGTCCGATATCACCTTTTAGAGAACTAAGGCTTAGAGAAGCCCTATATCACAATCACCTTGTGTGCTTATTTTAAAAATAGAGATTACAGAGCCCCAAATCCAGATATTCTGGTTTAGTAGGTCAGTGCAGGGTCCAGGAGTCTGTACCTTTAACAAGCTCCCCAGGTGACTTCAATGCAAAGCATAAATGGAGAAACAGGTGTTTACAGCCAGGTGTACCTGCTCCCAAGCCTGTGTTCTTTCCACCCTACTGCATTCACTCTGAGTCACACCCTTGTCCTCTTTTCCAACCTACTGGAATAGTGTCAGTTAAAGAATGCACTGTCACTACCAGTTGTTTCTAGGAACTTCCTCAAAGCTAATTTCACAATTCCCTGTCACTGCCTCTTCCACAAAAGGCAGGTCTTTGCTAGTCTCTCCTCCAACTGGGCGAATTCTACACATACAGTTGCCTCACAGGTAACAAGGTCAACGATCCACTGAGGATATTAAATTACTGTATTACAACAGGCTTCTGATCACTCCAATTCTACCACTCTATCATTTCTACTACTTCTCATCTGCAAGTAGTCTGCACAAATCAGCACAATAAGAGCTTCATCTTCATTCTGGAGTTAGGAAAGTCAGGTGTCCAGCTGCCATCGCCTCCCCTAGAGGGGGATGGATGTAGAATGCAGGTCTCTGTAATTAGATCTCGATCCCTCTTGGTACCCATTGAGGGCTTCAGCAACCACCCCCCTTTTGCTGGACTACCAGCCAGGCCAACCACAGGTGAATCCACTATGTCTACTCATGTCAGATTCATGTCACCCGGTCCCTGGCTAATTATAAGCCTTATCTTAGAGATTACAAAGGACCTGTTTGTTATACTGGTTGAGTGCACCAGGGAATTTACTGCATTGTGTTCTGAGCAAACATTTGTTATTCTCTTTTGTAATTCCTTGGGTCCCTCCTCCAAACTATCACCCCTTAACTCCCTTCTGAAAAGAGGAGGTTGTGTATTTACCAGCAAATTACATGTTTCCGTAAATGTGTATTTTAAATTGCATGCCTTTTCCGCCTTACTCTCTGCCCCACAGGTTAGAACAGTGGACCTGCAGAAACCCCATCTGACCTCATTAAAGCAACTAAGACTGAAGCAATCTTTTATTTCCCTTGCAGAATACTAAAGGGCTCTGTATGTTTCTATCTTAATTGGCCAACGGGCATTGTGATTGTATCATACCAAACACTGACACAGCCACCAGCTTAGCCTCAAATATTAAAGGATGTGCCCTGGGCTGTAGGGGCCCTTTGTTCAAGTTAAGTGTATAAAAGGTATGAAGTTTACCTGGGAGAGTCATTTCTCTTGTTTGAGGATCCATCTTTCTGAACTGTCCTCCCTGAGTTTGCAGCCTCTAATGGTGCTATGCAATATAGTATCCACTAGCAACATGTGGCTGTTTACATTTAAATGAATTAAAATTCAATAAAATTCAAATTCATTTCCTCAGTTGCACTAACCACAATTCACATGCTCAGTGGCCGCATGTGGCTAGTGGCCACTGCATTGGGTAAGGCAGATTATAGAATATTTCCATCACCATTGAAAGTTGTATGAAACCATGCTGTTCTTAGCAGATGTGTGCATTTTAGTGTCTCAGACTAAATTCGAGAATCATTAGTTTAAGTTTCAGAAGCTAAGAAGTGCCATCTCTTATTGTTACAACAGAATGTGTGTGAAGAAGGGCCCAGGATGGAATATAGCTTAGTATGGGCAGCAGTTTGGAAGGTGGCCGAATCTGGCAGCTTCCAGCACTACCTCCTTGCCTCAGCAGGCAGCAGGGCTGATGTGCGCACTGTCCCGCATTTCCTCTTGACCCTGCTCTGTACCCTGAATGCTGCCTCAGTGAAGAATTACTACTGGTGTCCATTATTATCGTTTCCTTGTAGCTTTTTTTTTTTTAACCAAGTTGATCTAAATGAGGACGAGCTCCTGTGATCACGCTCAGTGTCACTTAGCTGTATGACAGTCTCCTTCCCATCCCTTATTTAGGATACACTTAACTTGCAGATCCCCTTCTGAAACTTGTTGGGTGCCCTAAGACCCCACTACGTAAAATATGACCCCAAGGACCAGCAGATCCCAGGTGCCTGAGAGCTTGTTAGAAATGCAGCACTTCAAGCTCTAGCCCGGAATCTGCATTTTAACAAGACCTCCGGGTGATTTGGATGCATATTGAGGTTTCAGATGCACACTCTAGAAATCAGCCTACCAGAGGAACACATATTTTCATTCCAAAGTAAGTCATGGATAGGACTCTTGATCTCATGGAACTTGAAACTTAATGGGAAGGGCTGGGTGTGATGGCTCACGCCTGTAATCCCAGCACTTTGGGGCACTGAGGCTGGTGGATCACCTGAGCTCAGGAGTTTGAGACCAGCCTGGCCAACATGGTGAAACCCTGTGTCTACTAAAAACACAAAAATTAGCTGGGTGTGGTGGCGCGAACCTGTAATCCCAGCTACTCGGGAGGTTGAGGCAGGAGAATCGCTTGAACCTGGGAGGCAGACATTGCAGTGAGCCGAGATCACGCCATTGCACTCCTGCCTGGGCAACAAGAGCAAAACACCGTCTCAAAAAAAAAATTAATAGGAAAGAGGGTGCACTCAATACAAGGACATATAAGAATAACAGAAGACAGCCAGCTGAAAACGTGTGGAAGTTTGTAACCAAGAGTAGCCACAGAGATCTATGCATTTAACATCAGGGGTGTGGGGTGGGGAGGGTCATGTGTAAAGGGAGTTCTGCAGTGATTATTGTGGAAGAGATGGCGTATATGCAGGAGGAGTCCCCTGAGAAAGTTGATCTGAAGCAGTAGGGGGCAGAGGGTGGTGGTGGTGGTGGTGGTGGTGGTGGTGGCAGTGTAGGGAGACTGCAAGCTCGCAGACTAGGAGTTCATGGGGTGGGGAGGTCAAGGATGGGCAGCCATTGGCCTGGCAGGACCTGTTACAGCCAGCAAATGGAGTTTTCCAGAAGATCCCACCATTAGGGTGATGTGAGGGCAACTGCAGACCTTGAAATCCCCCAAGGCTGAATGTGAGAAGCAGTGTGTGATCTCCTGTGAACTGAGGCTTTGTTCTGCTTTCTGCTTGCCTATGCTCCTCCCCATTTTGAATGCCCAGCTGTTATGAGACTTTAAAGAAACCTACAATCAAAATTAAGGGTAGAAATTTAAAAATGCTCACAAAAGTGCTTTAACTCTTACGGAGAAAGATACAGTAGAAATACAAAATATTAAGGTCAACACAGGGCAAAGCAATGGAAGTGTACTCAAATAGAAATTACTATACATATTTAATGTAAGAAAAGATTTTTATAAAAATCTTCTTTTCCTCACCCAGTATTTTTTCTTTGATTTGAACTCAAGCTATTCATTCAATTTCTACCCTGCTTCTATGTGTCCTTTCCTGTTCCTATCCACCCTGCAGTGGGTTGAATGGTGTCCGCCTCTCCCACCTGGAACATGTGAGTGTGACCTTATTTGGCAAAAGTGTCTTTGCAGGTTTAATTAAGTTAAGGATCTTGAGATGAGGAGATTATCCTAGATTCTCTGCGTGGGTTCTAAATCCAGTGAGAAGTGCTTTTTATAAAAGGCACACAGAGGAGAGACAGACAGAGGAGGAGAAGACAATGTGAAGATGGACTCGGAGATGGGAGTGACACTGCTGCCACAGGAATGCCAACAGTCACCAGAAGCTGGAGCAAGGGGAGGAACAGACTCTCCCCAAGAGCCTCTGGAGGGATCTTGGCCCACCTTGAACTTGAACTTCTGGTCTCCAGAACTGAGTGAGAGAATAAATATCTGTTGTTTTAAGCCGCTAACTTTGTGATAATTTGTTACACCATCCCTAGGAAACAATACACTCCCTAAACATCAACAATATGTGATATTCTTATTACAAGAATAGCATCTATTTTTTTCCAGGTTTGCTCTAAATGTGCAGTATGTTAAAACCAGAACTGCAAGCTCATCTACAAAGTGCAGATTAAGAACAAGGTTAAAAAGTACTTCTAAATGGTTCATGGACACAGAATGGTGCAGCGCTGCTGCTATGCGTGTGTGTGTGTTGTTGTTGTTGTTTTGGGGGTATTTTTTGGTTTGAGTTTTTTGTTTGTTTTTTGCAGATGCTAGACTGGAAGTATGGAGTGGAATGGAAGAGAAGACTGTGATTAAGAGGAGATATAGCTTCCAGGCTGTCTCATATTTGATATAATACATTTATATTTCGAGCAAGGAGATGTGATCAGAGCTTGCTGTGAATGGCTAGTGAAAATTCCTTAGGAAATTTAGGGGTATGTAAGTGGAGGTCATATTCAGGGCCTCAGCACTGGTCCAGCTGTATGAATTGTTTATGGCTGGCATCTATTCCAACAGATTGAATATTCTTTCTGACTCTTGCACGTCTAGTTATTAAATATTTTGAATGTCACTCCTGCATATGATTGACAAGCTTTGATTGCCCCGCAAGTGAGGCTTTTCCACCACAGTGTTTTTCTGCCAACTGTGTTTTGAAGCCTAAAGCGAAAGTTCCTTTGGCTTTAGCTTTTCCCTTATTATCTCTTGATCAAATCTGGCAGACTTTTGATATAAGCTCCAGGGACAAGTTTAGTTAGTGGACAAGGAGTTTACAGAAACAATTGCATAAAACAATCTAGTTGAAACATCTAAATGTGTGAGCAGTTTTTTGTGTGTTTTGTGGGGTTTTGTTTTTTATTTTTTATTTGTTTATTTTAGCTGAGGTTTGTTTCCCTGAAACTTTGAATGGAAAGTAGTTTTACTTCTAGGCTTGTGATAATTATGCTTACTAAGGGGATTGCTCTGTGAAAATTATTCTATGAACACTTAGCAGATAGCAACATGATGAGAAGGAAGATTGGAATCATTTTAGATAAAACAGGTGGAGAAAGAGGTGATTGAAGGAGAACTATCCAGAATATGATTCCTGTAGTTTTTTGATTGCAGCATTATTTCGGAAGACTGCTTTCTCTTCCACATTACCACTGATGAGAAGAGGGCTGGGGTAGTCTACCTCTTAAGTTCAAAAAAAAAAAAAAAAAAAAGGATCTCCAAAATAGGCCATGTTTTCAGAGTGAATATCATCGTTGTGGACATGACAGAAAGAAGATCTGGTCTGGTGGAAATTTTTCTGCAAAGTCTTGTAACATTAAGCATTTCTAAAGCCTGTATCGCTAATATCCAAGGAAGACTCTTATTCTAAGTTAAAAAAAATTTAGGATTAGGTATTGCTGCTCATGTCTGGGGATAAATAGGGGACAGATTAGGTAGAGGTTGAAAATTATCAGAGATTAGTGAGACTTCTAGTTGTTCCAAAGTATTCAGTTTCTTTACATTTTGCTCCAAACTATAAATCCCATTCTAAATGAGATTTATAGACTGATAAACATAGCCTTATGTTTTCTTCTTTTTGGCAGATTTAGACACTTCTAGATATTTGTCTTATAGAAATAAAAGTACCAGAACATAAAGGTGCTATTAAGTGTGTTTACATTACAATAAAATAAAATAAAGCAGCTGGGAAGTCAAGCAATAAAGGAATGACTGCATAAATTGTGGTATATTTATAGCATGATGCCACTAAAAAGAATGAGTCAGACCTAAATAAGAGGACCTGGAAGGATTTCCACAATATATTGTTAAATGAGAACATTAAAGTTCACAAAACTGACTAAAATATGATCTCATTTTTGTGAAACAAATATTGTAGACATTACTAGTGCCCTCCAAATATTTCTGACTTGCTGTCTTCAGGCACATGGTAGGATTGCAGTTGGCACAGCCAGAACCCTTTGTGAGTGGGGCCATTCTGACCTATAAAAGATAACTGAAGTTCAAGATAGCAGCTATGGCTTCCCTTTGGGTTCTGAAGTGACGCAGTGATGAGCTCAGCTTATCTAACGACCCACAGCAGTCCTGTACTATGAGACATGAACTTGTGTTGTGTCATGCTGCTGAAATTTGGGAGTTGTTTTCACTGCAACACGATCTAGCCTATCGAGACTAATAAAACAATGAGAAGTGTGTGTGTGTGTGTGTGTGTATCATATATCACCTTATTTAATATAAGTTGTGTATGTATCACCTTATTTAATATAAGTTGTGTATATATCACCTTATTTAATATAAGGTGTGTATGTATCACCTTATTTAAATATCATACTAACATCATAAGATAGAAGCAGTATTTCCATTTTTTGTACTTCACAAAACAGAAGATCGGTGAGATTAAATGAATTTCCCAGGTCACACAATTAGCATTTGGCCAAGTAGAACTCTGAGTCAAAATGAGTTTACAGCAAAGCTCACCTTACTGTCTCTAAACATTCCACTGACATTCAGAAAGCGGCTAGGTAGTTTTTCTTCAGAGGACCCTCAGCACTATTTTAGGATAGAGCATATGGCATCATAAAACACAACCAAGAAAGGTTATCGGACTACAGGCACAGGACACAGAAACCTTGGCTGCCATGCCGAGCATCGCTGCTGGTAGTAAATAGAACAGGGATAAAAATAGGATGCATAGGTTCTTATCTATCATCTGTATTGGCAGATCCTGCTCTTTTAATCTTTAAAACACACTGTAGTTGTGTACTGGCTGATGTGATCCTTTTAGGGCTGGGATTGTATCTACATTGTGGTGAGTCCCTCAGGGCCGTTTAACAAAAGCTCACCATCAGCTAATGATAATTGGCCTTTAGGACAGAATCCTAATTGTTTGCACTGAGCAGGTGCTGGAACAAGGTAATAGGATAATGTAACATTGGTGAGAAATAGAGAGTGGAGTGGCCCTTTTTCCAAGTGTGAGAACTTTAGTTACACATGCAACATAATTGTGGGGGGTGGGGTGGGGCAGGGAGTTGTAGGTAGTCAGCTCTGGGAAGATTTTAAGTGGATGTCACTGGTGTATTAAAGTGGGACATACAATTGATTTCTTCCATGGGAAATATGACGTCGAATTCACCGAGGAAAACAATGGAATATGCTCTAAGACTTGTGAAGTGAATGATCAAAGGAACACCTCTACTTCTAACAAGGCAGGTTGTATCTTGATTCCGGCACTCCAGGGTCCTGTGATCCCTGAGCTTCCAAACCAATTTTTACAGTACAGAAGCCATGCTGAAGAGAAAGGATATTTATATTTATACATTATATTTCAATAGAGCTTTTCCTCTGTGATTCATATTATATCCACACAAATTAATATAACAGTTTGTAGCCATTTTACATGTAAAAGCAATGTTGTCTGCAAGAATCAAAGGGTAAATCAAAAGCTAAGAGGAGTCTAAAGAGAGCTCATATAAAGGGAGCTTAAGGGTAGGACAGCAATATGTGAATGTTGTATGTATGTTGTATGGATGCATGTGGATATATATATAGAGACATATATACTGTATGTATAGAGACAGTATATGTATATACTCTATATACTCCATACTCCATAGAGAGATAGTCTAAGTTCAAGGTCAGCCTAGGCAACGGTGAGAACTTGTCTAAAAAAAAAAGAAAGAAAAAAGAGAGAGAGAGATTTTAAAAACCCATTCAGGTTCATAGCAATGAGTTTGCAGGGAAAGAAAGACCACTAGCAGGGAAGAAGGGGAAGGATGTAAAGGATGTATCATTTAGTGAGCTTCTGGTGTATCTGAGAAACTGCTGGGCTTTTTATTAATAAAAAATTTAAAGATATTCATTTGTAAAATATATTTAAAGAATAAGAAATATATTAAATATATATTACAAGCAAATGTTATATAGTATTGTATATTTTACATAGATTTTATATTTTTAACCACAAATTTTATCACTTAATGCTTACAATGGTTACAAGGTTTGAGGTGTTTCCCTTATAAGGAAAAAGCTGGTGAGAGGAAGTTGCACAAAGCTATATTGCACAGATGTGCCAAAGCCCAGATCTGAAGTGAACGCAGGCCAGACATATCCACTCTCCAACATATCATGCTGCCGTCCAGAACTTTGCACATAAGAAAGAGGCAAGGGGAGGGAGAGCATTAGGACAAATATCTAATGCATGTGGGGCTTAAAACCTAGATGAGAGGTTGATAGGTGCAGCAAACCACCATTGCACATGTATACCTATGTAACAAACCTGCATGTTCTGCACATGTATCCCATAACTTAAAGTAAAATTTAAACAAGAGGATATATTGACAAAGAACTAATATTCAGAATCTACAAAGAACTCAAATAACAATAACAACGACAAAATACAAATAAGCCCATTAAAAATTGGGCAAAGGACACAAACAGACATTTTGCAAAAGAAAACATACAAAGGGCCAACAAAGATATGAAAAATGCTCAACTTCACTAATCAGAGAAATGCTAACTAAAATCATAGTAAGATACCATCTCACACCAGTCAGAATGGCTATTATTAATATGAAAAAGTAAAAAAATTAACAGATTGTTGGTGAGGATGCAGAGAAAAGGGAGTACTTATACCCTGTTGATGGGAATGTAAATTAATACAACCTCTATGGAAAACAGATGGAGTTGTCTTAAGGAACTAAAAATAGATCTACCATTCAATCCAGCAATCCTACTACTGAGTGTATACACAAAGGAAAATAAATCATTATATTAAAAAGATACCTGCACCCATATGTTTATTACAGCACTATTCACAATAGCAAAGATATGGAATCAACCTAAATGTTCATCAACAGATGACTGGATAAAGAAAATGTGATATATATATATGTGTATATATATATATACATATATATATATAGGAATACTACTGAGCCATAAAAAAAGAATGAAATCATGTCTTTTGCAGCAACCTGGATGGAACCACAGGCCATTCTCTTAAGTGAAACAACTCAGAGACAGAAAGTCAAATACCACATGTTCTCACTTATAAGTAGGAGCTCAACAGTGGGTACCCGTGGACATGGACATAGAGAGTGGAATGATAGACACTAGAGACTCAGAAGGGTGGGAGGATGTGGGAGTGAGAAATGAGAAGTTATTTAGTGGGTACTATGTACTCTTAGGGTGATGGCTACACTCAAAGGCCAGGCTTCACCTCTCCATAATATATCCATGTAATAAAAAATGACACTTATACTTCCTAAATCTATTAAAAAATTTTTTAAAAGAAGCAGTAATGAAGGCAAAAATATCTTTCCAATGCACTCTAGAAAAAAAAATTCCTGGAAGACTTCCTAAAGATGAAGGATCTATCTATCCATCTATCTATTTACACTGGAAGTAAATCTATCTTTTCAATTTATAGATTATTTTTAAAGTACTGAAACAAATACTCTATCTCAAATCTTGTAATTTATTTTTAAAAGTATTTTAAAACATGCTATTTTTCTTGGCAGTCAGCAGGTGAAAAAACAGAATTATTAAATTTTGACAAAAAGAATCAATCCTTAGAGAAAGTCTGAGTTATGATAAAAAATGAATGAAACATTCTGACTCTATAGATAATAAATCAACATATATTTATATTTTACCAAGTCTAATGCACAGAAATAGTTTAAAGGAATCTTGCAAAAATTTTAACTATGTGAAGTCCTTCTTCCAGTTTCTCTTTTTTAAGTCCCCTTTCTCTTTCTTTTCCCAAATTGGCAATATATCAGGGAGACCTGAACTCTCAGGTTAAAATCCTCTGATTTCATGAAGATAAACCTTCAAATCTGTCCATTTCTTAAAGGCAAAGAAGCCCTATCATTTCCACTTAACTAAATCCTAATCTCAAATTTACCTTAAAAATGAAACACACTTGTTTTGCATGCAAGGTAAATATATAGACACTGCTCCATTACCTAAACCTGATGTTCAAAAGTTTAAGTTCTCAGACATACTTCAGGGCATTAATGCATGTGACTTACCGGCATAACTCCTCAAGCTTTTCTGTTAATACATTCATGAGCCCATAGAGGGCATATTATCATATTTGCATATTCAGATTAGCTAATTTTTCTTAAATGGTGCATATTAAGACAACTGGGAACTGTTTAGAACACTTTATACACAGTTTGGGAACAATTACCCATCATTACATTCATTTAGAGTTGACTCTCGAGGCAGGCATTGGTACAGCCAAGTTTGGTTTTTGACAGTTGCACATGATCAACCAATAGATCACACTGCTTCGATCTTATGTATATTTTCCAACAGAGAAAGAGTTTGGCCTTTTCCTCATGGTGCTTTTAAGCCTGAGGAAATATAAGCCTGAGGGTAATATAGAAGACACATGATAATCATAGGAAATGCTTTCTCCTAAAATTTTTCCTACGTTTTGTTAACAAATAAATAATGAGAGAGATAGGTAATTCCATGCAGAGTACTGAAATAAAAAAAATAGAGCTGAGACATTTTCCTGTGAATAAATATTTGTAACTGCTAACCAAAAAAAAGTGGACATGTATATAATGCTTTATAGTATATATTGACATTTTGCCAGGCCGTGAAAGAAATAGGATAGCTGAGCTAATAGAGCAGGCATTTTTGCCTTTACCTGAGACAGAGTGTTGTTTGCTGAAACAAATGAGCAATGTGCCACTGTGCTCTCCAAAATGATCTTAGCTCAAACTTTATAAAAGAGGGAAAAGACAGGTGACTCATGAAGGAAGGGCTCATTCCTTGTAAATGCATAGTTCAGTGTTAATTGTAAATACCAGCATATGCTTGGTAACATAAAGAGACTGCTGAGAACTGTTTAGAGCACCAAGTATTGCGGGGAGGAATGAACGAGTCAACAAAATCTTCACAGTTCAAATCCAAATCAATTTGAATCCAGGTTGATACTACTATCCATATTGCTACCCGCAGTAATCACTTGTCAGTCACCCAGACTGAAACTTCCAGTGATGACAGCCTTAGAAATTAGTGAAATTCCTCATGGATATTCTGTTAAAATCTACCTATCACTCAAGCATGATCAGGAGGATTAGGAAACACAAAGCTTTCACACCAAAGTGAGAAGGAGGAGAGAAGACCAGAAACAAGACAGTGCTTCCCCAAAGTGGGGGGCACACTATTTATTGGATGTCACTTTCTAGGCTGTCAGGTTTCTGTTGAGAGGTGGCACTGAATCAAGAAAAGGGAGAGATTGACCTTTTCTGGGAGAAACTGAATTTCAGAATGCTACAGAGAAGCCTTGAGAAAGACTTCTGGGCTGTTGCAGGTCATGGTGGGGAGAGGACAATGAAAAAACTAGAGTTGGAATCTGTAGTCATATGCTCAATGTCAAGTCCAGCCCCAAACCATTTGCACTGTCCTCGTGTGAAAACCATCCTCCTTTCAAGGTCACCCTTTCTTCTCTGCACTTGAACCCTCTGCACTATCTTTTGGTCACTTCCTCCGAATACAGTGCCAAGACTTATTAATTTTTCTTCCCAATTTTTCTCTTATTTATGATGAAAAAATACTCGAAAGCTGAGAGTGGGATGAGATGGCATCCTCATTTCATTCTTTAGAAAATGAATTAAAGTAACAACCTCTTTCATTATTGATTTTCACAACTAAAAATCCATCAACATCATTTGTAATTTATTAAACACCTGTCTTTATTTATCACAACATTACTTGCATGACATTTTCTACCAATGGAACCACTTCTGACACAGTCTATCCCCTGATTCCATCATAAACCTTTCCTAGGAATCAATGATTCCAGAAAGCCAACTAAGTTAGCTTTGATTACAAAGACAAAACCTTTCAGAGGGGTTAATCCTCAAAGTGATCAATACATTCTTCGGTTGCCAAAATGAGGGCATTGGACTAGCAGAAGATTGCTAAGGCCTTTCCAAAAATGTAATTCTTTGACTCTAATAGATGCTAAATTGCAACTGGAAGATTATCTTGGGGAAGAAAGAAACATAAATAACCTTGTTGGAAGAGGAAAAATGACACTCTAGATTGAAGTGAGAGCTTGCTGTGAGCATTTACCTTTCTAAGGTAACAAATGGTGACCTGCAGCCAAGACAGGCTTAATCTTCCTCTATAGCTGCATCTTCCACCACCTTTGTTTTTCTCTCCTTCCTTCCTTCCTTCCTTCCTTCCTTCCCCTTCCTCCCTCCCTCCCCCCTTCCTTCCTTCCTTCCTTCCTTCCTCCCTTCCCTCCTTCCCTCTCTTCTCTTTCTCCCCCTCCCACTCTCTCTTTGTCTCTCTCTCCCCTACTCTTTTTTTGGAGACTCTGTCGCTGAGGCTGGAGTGCAGTGGTGCAATCATGTCTCACTGCAGCCTGGACCTCCTGAGCTCGAGAGATCCTCTCACCTCAGCCTCCTGTGTAGCTGGGACCACAGATGTGCACCACCACACCTAGCTAAGTTTTAAATTTTTTATAGAGACGGGGTCTCACGATGTTGCCCAGGCTAGTCTTGAACTCCTGGGCTCAAGGGATCCTCTGGCCTTGGCCTCCCAAAGTGCTGGGATTCCAGGTGTGAGCCACAGCACAGGGTCATCCGGCAACTTTGGTACCTGCCACCGCTTCAAGCTTAGCTGCTCCAGATGACTTACAGTTCCTCAACAACACCATGCCTTGTCGTGGATTCCCACATGCCCTTTCTTCATATCTTTCTGGAGCCTCTTTCTTGTTCTTCTGATCATAGCAGTGAGGGTGCCATTTTGGAAGACACCTGCAGTACACCCTGACCAACAGAGTTCCCTGCTCAGTCCTTTGTGCCACCTTGGAACTTACTGCTAACTGAACATTTATTGTAACATCCTGTAAGTATTTAAGTTTTTCTTCATGAAATATTTCAAATACAAGACAAAAAATGATGAATATAATACTTTCCACCTGGGCATTATTTAGGTTTAGAAATGTTAACATGGAGTCCTAGCTGCTTTAGTGTTTCAAAAATAATGTAAAGGAATACAAATTACAGATATAGCCAAACATCACGGATGCTCCCTTTTCCCACACCTTTTCCTGGAGGCGACTACTACCCCGAAGTTAATGTTTGTGTGTCCTGTTGAACTTTTACCATATAGGTATGCATTTGCGAGCATTAATATAAAATATTGCTTTATAGGCTTCCAATGTCCATACTTGGTATCACACTTTAAGAATCATTTGTAACATTCTATATTTAATGCAACACTATGTTTTTGTTTTTTCTTTTCTGAGACAGAGTCTCACTCTGTCACCCAGGCTGGAGTGCAGTGGCGCCGTCTCAGCTCTCTGCAACCTCCGCCTCCTGGATTCAAAAAATTCTCTGTCTCAGCCTCCTGAGTAGCTGGAATTACAGGGGCCTGCCACCACGCCCGGCTAATTTTTGTATTTTGTTAGTAGAGACAGGGTTTCACCATCTTGGCCAGGCTGGTCTTGAACTCCTGATCTCGTGATCCACCCACCCTGGCCTCCCAAAGTGCTGGGATTACAGGCGTGAGCCACCATGCCCGGCCTCAACGTATTTTAAGATTATTGCATGTTGGTTCATGTAAACCTAGTTCATTCATATTTCCTGTTGCATTAGTATTCCAATAGATGATTCTATCACAAGATTCTTCAACCCTTACAGAGGGTTATTTAGTTGGTATGTAAATTTTTGTCAATGACAATCCTCCAGTGAGCATCCTAATCAATTCTCTTTTGTACCCTTGTGCAAAGGTTTCTCTAAAGAATATAAGTAGAACTGCTGTGTCATGGGGTACGTGCAACTTTAGCTTAACTAGATATTGACAGATAGCTCTTAAAGTGATCGTTAACAATTACCCTCTCATCAACAGTGTATGAAAGTTTCTCTTTCCACTTCATCATTACTTGGTACTACCATTATTTCATTTGGGTTTTCAGAATGCTGGGTTATTTAATTGCTATATCTTGATTACCTTTTAGGTATTCAGGTTTCTGTGTCTACAAATTACTTGCTCATATTTTGTCCACTTGTTTATTGATTTTTTTTTCTCATTGATTTATATAGACTCTTTTTTCTTCTAGTATAACCATTGTTTTTGGCTTTATGTGTAGTACCAGTCTTTCAGTCATAATTTTGTTTGTGAGTCCTTTGTCATATAAAGATTTTTTTAAATTTAAACTTACCAATTGTTGACTTGATGTTTTGCGCTGCCTTGGGACTTTTACTTTTTCTTTTCTTTTTTTTTTTTTTGACCAGGTCTTGCTGTGTCGCCCAGGCCAGAGTGCAGTGGCAATATCATAGCTCATAGCAGCCCTGAACTCCAGGGTTCAGACAACCTCTTGCCTCAGCCTCTTGAGTAAGTGGGGACCAGAGGTGTGCACCACCATGCCTGGCTAATTTTTCTTTAAGTAGACATGAGATCTCACTATGTTGTCCAGGCTGGTCTCTAAATCCCTGAGCTCAAGGGATTCTTCTGCCTCAGCCTCCCAAAGTGCTGAGATTACAGGCATGAGCCACTGTGCCTAGCCTATTTTTGGACTTTTAAATAAATTCTTTTCTATGATGAGGTTATGCAATCTTCACCTATATTCTCTTTTTAAAGTTTCAAGGCTTTGCTTTACATATTTAGGTTGTTAATCCATCTGGAATTTGTTTTTATATATGATGTGAGCCAGGAAGCCAATTTATTTTTTACAATATGGAGAATAATTTTTTTCCTGAGTACTGCATATTGCGCAGTTGATTTTTCCTATACTGATTTATAAAGCTACTTTCGTGATGTACCAGTGGACTGAGTTATATTGAATATTTTAAATATATTTTTATGTATAAGTCCTGACGTTCTTTGCACACTAGGGTAACTGTAGTTAATAATAATGTGTTGTATATTTATTTTTTTTGTTTTTTCTTTGAGACGGAGTCTGGCTCTGTCGCCCAGGCTGGAGTGCAGTGGCGTGATCTCGGCTCACTGCAAGCTCTGCCTCCCGGGTTCACACCATTCTCCTGCCTCAGCCTCCTGAGTAGCTGGGACTACAGGCGCCCGCCACCGTGCCCGGCTAATTTTGCTATTTTTAGTAGAGACGGGGTTTCACCTTATTAGCCAGGATGGTCTCCATCTCGTGACCTTGTGATCCGCCCACCTCGGCCTCTCAAAGTGCTGAGATTACAGGCGTGAGCCACCGTTCCTGGCCAATGTGTTGTATATTTCAAAATAGCTAGAAGAGAGGATTTTGAATATTCTCGCCACAAAAAATGATAAATGTTTGAGGTGATGGATATGCTAACTATCCTGATTTAATCATCACGCAATGTATAAATGTTTTGAAATATCTCATTTGTACCCCATAAATATATGCTGTGATCATGTGTCAATTAAAAATAGAATAAAACTAGAAAAAATGGCAGGCAGAAGAATAAAAAGACTCTCTCCTCCCCATCCCCCATATATTTATCTATATATAAATATATACAATATATATTTGCTTTAAATATATATTTACTTATATATAATATAGATTTACTTATATATATAAAATATATTTACTTATACATAAATATATAATATACATTCACTTATATAGAGATTTACTATATACTAATATATATTTACTTATATATAAATATATATTTATTATGTAATAAATCATATATACATGTATTATAAGTTTATAATACATTTATAATTTTTCTTTTTTTGAGATGGAATTTCGCTCTTGCTGCCCAGGCTAGAGTGCAATGGCGGGTGATCTCAGCCCACTGCAACTCCCACCTCCCAGGTTCAAGCGATTCTCCTGCCTCAGCCTCCCGAGTAGCTGGGATTACAGGCATGCGCCAACACGCGTGGCTAATTTTGTGCTTTTGGTAGAGATGAGGTTTCTCCATGTTGGTCAGGCTGGTCTCAAACTCCTGACCTCAGGTGATCTGCCTGCCTTGGCCTCCCAAGGTGCTGGGATTACAGGGGTGAGCCATCGCACCCGGCCATACATTTATAAATTTTAAAAAGTTATCAAATAGTTTGCTGGCTTGGGTTAAAATATTATATTTAGAATTTCTGCATTTAATTTACGTTCATAAATTAGATTGATCTGTATGTTTTCTCTCTTATATGGTCCTTCTCCAGTTTTTAGATCAAGGGTTGTATCACTCTAATAAAAAGATTTGTTGAACATTCCTTCTCTTTCTATTGTCTTGAAAAGTTTATATAAAATAGAGGTCACATATTTAGTCTCTGGAATAGCTTAAATAAGTTAAGAGTAACCCTTCTTAAATGTTTATTAAAACTCATCAGCCTAATTGATTTTTACTATAGATCTGATTTCTTCAGTGATTGTAGTGATTTATTTTCTAGTGCTTCTTCAGTCAATATTGGTAGTTTATAGTTTATCTAGAAAATTTTCCATTTTATTTAAGTGTTCCAATTTACTTGCATGAAGTTGATCATAATATTTCCTTCAGTTATTTTAAAATTATCTGTTAACTGTGTCCTTCTAATAGTCTGTTTGTGCCTTCTTTTGTTTTGTTTTTGATGCCTCTTGCCAGAGATTTGCCTATTTTATTAACATTTTCAAAACAAGAAAGTTTTTGTTTTCTTTGATTTTTGAGTGTCCATTGTATCTTGGATTTTCTTTCCATGAATTTCACCTCTTATTTCTATAATTTCTTTTTTCAGTCTTTGGGATAGTGCTGCTGTATCTTTTCATATTTATTGAGTTGACGGCATGGCTAATTCACTTTAAATATTATCTATTTCCTAACACATACATGCAAGGCTACACATTTCCCTCAAAGTACTATTTGCAAATCTCATGTATTTTGTAAGTAGTTTTAAATTATTGTTCAGTTCAAAATATTTCATATTTAGAAATGATTTACTTTTGATGTACGAATTTCTTAGGTATTTATTTAATTCCAAACATATGTTTTAAGCAATATCTTTGACACATATATAGCTTTATTGCATTTTAGAGAAAATACTTTGTATATTAATAGTTTGAGTTGTTCAAATCTCCAATAAAATTACTAAGTTAACTAATGTATAAGTTACTGTGAAAAAATGTGTCTTAAAAAAATTCATTTATAATTTTGGATTAGTTTTCCCTCGTAATTTTAATCATTTATGCATTTCATATTTGGAGACTATTTTGTTAAATTTTTACATCTTCCTATGAAATATTCCCTTTATCATTATTAAGGAAATCATTAAGTATTAATCATTTACCATTAAGTATTAATACATAATTATTTATCTATAATCATTTACCACTAAGTATTAATGGATACGTAATTAAGTATTAACGAGTACCATTAAGTAACAATTTTCCTTATCTTTAATAATGTTGTTAGCTTTAAAATCTATTTTATTTAATAGTAATATTGGTATGCTAGTTTGGTTTACTTTCGGTTAATATTTGCCTATTGTTTCATTGGTGCATCATGTTTTTTTTCTACTTTGAGCAGAGAAGTTTAATCTATTTATAGTTGTTGTGACTCATTTGTTTCATATTATTTTGGTTTTCTATTTGTCTTTGCACCTCTTGATCTCTGACTGATGGGGTTCTATTCTTTCTTTTCCTTTCCTCTAATTTGGAAGTTATATATTTTGTTTCTGTTTTTTTTTTTTAATAGTTGTCATTACAACTTTAACATATTCTTATGTTTCTGGCCAGTATATCCTGAACAAGCCCAGAATGCTGAAATCCGATCACCCCTCTCTGTTACTTAGGTTTGCTTTCAGTTCTACCTTGTCTGTAATCCCACCCCTTTAGAAAACATTCCATCATTGTTTCATGTTGTTTTACTTTTACAAACATATTTATCAACTTCACATCTGCCTCTTCAATCTCACTCCTTCCTTCTTGGTTCAATTTTCTTCTTTCTGAATGGCAGGCGATTCCTTTGTTCAGTGAGGGTCTATGATTAACAAACTCAGACCCTGAGTTTACTAGCATGAATCTTTATATATTTTAATTATCATTATCTAATAAACATATGTAAGTAGTTAAAAATTTAAATAGTGCTAAAAGTAGTAGTCTCCTGTTCCTCACTTCCCCAGACATAACAATTTCCAACTGTTTTTTCTTCCTGAGCTATTCCGTATGGTATTTAACTCCAAGTTTCTAAATAGTATGCTTATAATACTCTCTTAATTCATTAATTTACAATACTATTAACTGTATATTATAGTAGCAGACTGAGCGCTCTTAAGCCTTCCCATTCCCCTTTTCCTCCTCCATTTGTATATCATATTTTGTAAAATATTCAAATTTTACATATTTCAATTTTGTTAAAAATGGTTCTTTGGAATTCTATGATTACACTTCCTAGTTTAAACAACTTTTCATTTTTCCTGGAGTTAGTAATCACTTAATTTTTTTCCTGAGTCTTCTTTGAACTGATCTCTAATTTTTTCCACACCCTTCAATAGCTTCTCAGTATAACACCCCAGTCAGCCAAATATTTCAGACAGGGTGCCTCATTTTGGAGCTATGATTATGTGCCTAAATCCAGATGCTTTTGGATTTAACTTCTCCAAGGGGGGGAAAAATCCCACCTCTTGAGGGAGTGACAGAGAAGTTGCTTTACACTATCCCCTTTTACTATCTTTTGTGTCACCTAATATATCATATTTTTCATCTCAGTTCTCAGGGCTTCATTCTGGCTGATTTTCTTTGATCTTCCAGTTTATTAATTCTATCTTTGGCTGTGTCCACTGTGCTATTTAATTAGTGTTTAATTTCAAAGACTATATTTTTCATTTCTAGTCTGTCTTTTTTTACTGTTGTTTTTCATAGTGGTTTCTTTTTCACTGTGGCTCCTATTTATTCTCTATTTCTTTTCTTATTGTAAGCATATGTATTTGATAGAAACCTTTATATTTATATCTTATTTCTAGTTCTTCATTTGTTGAATCTGCTGACTTTATTCTAGTCTATTTCTTCATGTGATCTGGAGATTTTTCATTGTGAGTTTATACTTAACAGGATGCTTTTCCACTCCTTACAGAGTGATTTTTTATTTGCTTCTATCAATATTCCAATGACTCTAATGGCCTGGAGAGGGGAAAATATGTTCGCTTTTAGCTCCAGGATTCCCAAATCCTCTGGGTACTAAAAATTTGGATCACATAGGCTTTCAGTTTCAATTTCTCATAGGGAATTTCCTGCCTCTACAGAGATCCCCTGGGCTTACAGCTCCTTCCTATTTTCCTGACCTTATAGGCAAAGTGATTGTTTTGTCTTTTTTCCCAATTTCCAGATTTATCTATGGGCAGGACTTCGAGGAGGCTTCCCTTAATCAGAGTCTTAGCTCTCGCCTGAAGCAAATGCAAGCCTGTCACATCTCTGCCCTTAAATTGAGAATTGAAACTCCAGCCCTCCGTGTCTTAGGTATGTATCCAGGTCAGACACCCCACAGTAAAGTCAGTTCAGTCTATTATGCTGCTGAAAGTTCTTCTGATTATTTCTTTACGTGTTTGTCTCTCTCAACTAATGAATGAGTATTTCAAAGGCAAGAACCAACTTATTAACCATTATTTCTCTCTGCTCTACTATCCCAACTCCTAGCAAAAAACCTGGCAGAGAGTAAACAAGAGCATGGCTAATACTGATAGAAGAGCTAGAAATAAATTATTTAGGTAGATAGTGAGGGTAAGAGAGTCCTCAGTAAGGTTTCCTTTTAGTAAAAAGCAGCCCCAAAATCATTTCTTTTCTAACAAAAAACGGCCTGAAAAATCAAGCTGCAAGCATAGATAAGCAAGCTAGAAGCTTACACAGGTGAATGCTGGCAGCTGTGCCAATATGAAAAGGCCACCTGGGGGCTAGGCATGTTCAACATGGAGGCTCTATCTTCCTTTTTCTTTGTCAACCATGTGTGCAGTAAAGAAGCAGGCAACATGGCGCCAGCCAGGTAAAGAACCCATTTGCATAATAAAAGATTAAGGTGGGGAGGCCAGCTTCTTCACGCACTATGTAAATGGCATACCTGGTCTGACCAATATTTTGTGCCCTATGTAAATCAGAAGCTGCCTTCTCAAGCTCGTCTATAAACCCCTGCCCCACCCCGGGCATTTCACCACAGAACCGGAAGACCCACTCGGGAGCCCCTCTCTCTCTGTAGGAGAGAGAGCTTTTTTCTTTTCTCTTTGTTTTGCCTATCAAACCTCTGCTCTTAAATGCATTCCTTGTGTGCATCTGCGTCCTCAATTTCCTTGGCATAAGGCAATGAAAAACAGCACCGCTTCAATATTTGGTAAATGAATGAATTTAATTTAGGTGAGTTTGACACCTACTAAAAAGTTCGGTACAACTTGTCACTTGCAACATGGTGTCCAAGACACAGATAAGAGATACGTCAGAGAATAAAGAGAATTAGATAGCAATAACTGGGAGATGTCTATGGAACCTGATTGTTCTGACCTCTTCTTCAACTGGTTTTCTTCCTCACTGTTTGAAATATTGTTTAAATTAAATAATTAACACTATATTAAGAGCCAAGAATAGCACTCAGAGGCTATATTTAGCTTCTGGCTACCTGGTTATGCCGTGCAGTGAAATGAGGCAAGAAGTTTTTGACAATTTAATTAACATCTTTCTAGATTTTCAATTTTTAAAATATGAAGCCCCATGAAGGGACTTCATTTTCAATTTATTTACAGTGTAAGAGGAGGAAACTCTGATTTCTCCTTCAACATTTATCACTGGGGATTTGGAGGGGATTGGAGAAGGGAGAAAGAAGGAAGAAAGGCCTTGTCTTCTATTAACCTAGAGCTCACCCTTCTCTGTAGCTTCCTTTAAGTCAGTGGTTTAACTTTGGGACGTGGTAAAATAACAATGTGTGTGTTGTCGGTGGATTTGGGGTGCTAGAAAATAGCAGATACTAATTAGGATTTTGAAAGACCTTTCATAAGGGTAAAAAAAAAAAAAGACACAGAAACATACTTATGTCAGTGCCATAATTGAGTAAGGCTGTGTATTCTGATTGGAAATTTGCAAGGCTTATTACATTGAATACTTGATATTTTCATTATTTGAGGTCTTGAGCAAGCTTTAAATAAAGTGTGTTTAGAAAGTACTGTGCACGTGATCTCCTCCTCCACAAACACAAAACCATTATAGTTTTATCTAATTAAACTACTTCCATTTCTTCCTCAGTGCCTACCATAAGAGTGCTGGCCTCTGTCAATAGTGGTCCTCATCATCCAGCTTATTTCTCCATATGGCAACAAAATGCTGATGAGGAAGTTTCAGTTCAGTTATAGTTATTTTTTTCTTAAGAAGAAAATGATGTAGGACAGGACTTTGTGAGGGAAGAACAAACCAAAAAGTAGAAGGGAATATTTTTAATGACATCAGAGAAACTGCATAAGACCACTTTTCTGTATTGCCGGCCTCTTTAGAAAGTATTCAGTTGGCAGGTAACGGAATGACCTGTTGTAATCACTGAACACTGACATATTGATCAGCTCTGTAAGGGGAAAATTTTCCAGTATGGGGCAGTCCTGTGGAGACACAAGCTAAACATGCCCATCTACTGCCCTGCAAACCAGGGCCACCCCTTGGGTGCCAGGGTCCTTGTCTATAGAAGCAATTTGTGTCACCCTGGGTCAGTGTGTTAGCAACCATCTCACCTGATTTATAAAAGAAATGGCATCCTGGTCAGCAGGGTAAACTGCTTGGCAGCCTACCCTCCTGGAACAAGGGACAGGTAATAGCGATATGGACAGGAGGCAGGGAAATACTGGGCAGAAGAGGGTGGTTCCCTGGCAAAAGCCCCACCCTCAAGCCTGGAAACTATGGCCCTAAATGAGAAAAGTTATCCCTGTTTTCCAGCCCAAATGTTGCCTTTTTGGCCTGCCTCGCCCTGCTATCCTGTGCCCATATAAACCCCAGACCCCAGCTGGCAAAGAGAAAAGTGGCTGAACACCAAGAGAAGAAGCAACAGAGCATTGGAGACTATAGATAGATGTGGCTTAACTTTAGATGGCATGACTTCAGAGAGGAGCCCGGTCGTCTCTGGGAAAGATCACCTTCATCCTACACCATCCCCTCTCCAGCTCCTGATTCTCTGAGAGCCACTTCCACTGCTTAATAAAATCCTCTGCATTCATCACCTTTCAAACAGTTCATGTGATCTGATTCTTCTGGATGCCAAACAAGAACTTGGGTATCAAAGGGGCAGGTGCAGAAGGCTGTCACCCTGACCTACCACTGAGCTGTCAACACTTAGCCATCCATAGACAGCAAATTGTATACATTTGCTAAATTTACAAAAACTAAAATTGTAGCTAAAACTGTAACACACCCGTAGAATGCTGCCATGGGGCTGGAGCCCAAAAGCGCTTGGCCCGGCCCTGGCACCCACTATCCTGTGTGCTCCCTCTTGTGAGGGTTTCAGCCTAGCAAGTTCGAGCGAGTGAAATTCATTCCTGTTGGTGTTGAAGTGGTCGGCTGGTCCCAGAGCTGGTGCACTCCAGTTCCTGCCCATGAAAAGGTCAAGGGTACTCTTCAGTCTCAACAGGGCCCAAGGCCAACCACAGGTGGGAGTGCCGAGCTCCTTGGGACATCTGATCAACTCTCAAGGCTGGGGGTGGGTGGAATGGTATTGGAAGGTTGAAGAGTATCCCAAAAAGAAGAAACGGGGTGTAAGGGTGGCACAGGTCTGGTCTGGGCCCAGGGCTCCTAGCTAAGACAATTACTGCTTTGCCATCCAGGCATCTCATAAGACCTTAGAAAACTGTTGGGAAAAGGGCTTGTGGGGTGCCTGTATAAACTGGCTATAAAAATATGGGACAATAAGTTGTGGAAAGCCACAAGAGTCCTCTGAGGAGGAAAGCCTCCTAATTGCCATCATGTTCCCATGCTCAGAGTGAGACCCGCTCTCTTACCTGTAAACACTGTGCTCAAGGAGAAAGACACTCCTTTAGAACACTGAAATGTGGACAGACGTATGGGCTCCTAGTTAAGCCTTCTCCCACTAGCTACTCTCCAATAAGTTAAAGATATGCTGTTTGAGCACAAAGGAGATTCATTTAAACCACCATTGCTATAGATTACGCCTATGACACATTGCCTCCCTTTCACTGTTTCGTCCTGAACATCTGCTTCTTTGATCTAAGTGACTGTACTCAATAAATACTGTGGAGACCAAAACTCTGGGCCTTTCGCAGCCTCCATTTTGCAACTGGCCCCCTGGCTCCCACCTTTATAAACTCTTAACTTGTCTCTTCTCAATCCTTTGTCACCACCGGACTTTGGATATCCTACAGGCAGTGTTGAGACTGGTCCTCAACAGAAAACATTAAGAGAAAGTCACCAATATGGGAGTTGCAGGGGTGAGGTGCTTCTGGCCTGGGTCAGAAACTCTGAAGTTGCATTGGAATGAGCAACAAACCCAACATCTATCTTGCTGGCCTCCCAGACTATATGTTGGTATAACCTGCAACTCAGATAGCACCTCCTGATGATAACTTTCTTGACTACCCAAAGTTATTCATTCTACCCTCAGTGACCCTGAAGCATTTTCTTCATGCCTCACCTCTCACTTGGCTTTGTGAATATATGTTTATATCTCTATCTCCCCCTGTAGACTTTGAGACTCTGTGGAAAGCAATTATATCTTCTTTATATTTGTGCCTTTAGTTCCTGGACACATGAATAGCAGTGATGTTTGGAAAATTAGTGAATAGATGGCTTGCCCACCTGAAAGTCACCTTTTGTATTAGTATTTCACAGGCAGATTACTAATTACCATGTATAGGATTCAACGTTATAAGATAGGCATTATGATGCCAGGGTAAATATTCATCTTGAGTGGTTAATACAGTAATTTCCTTCTTGAATCTTTGTTGCAGCAACAGGCGGAGTGAGACACACATTGTTCTAGGAGATCTGTATTCCTTGGAGGACTCTGCCAAGTTCAAAAATGTATAGGAGCTTTACCTTCTAGTCACACTGACGGTACCTTGCACCTAAATCCTGCTTTCACACCTATTATCTGTTTGATCCTCTCAAAACTCCTGTGAGATGAGTAGGCTCTTACTGTGATCACCATTTTACAGCAGGAGGCAGCAAGGCGGACTGGTTAAGTGATGCATCTCTGGTTCTACATATAAGGGTGGTGCTGAAATTCGAACATGACTGTCTTGGCCAACCAGTGTTTTTCCCACTATCTATTCACCACCATGATGCTGGTCAAATTGCTTAACCTCTCAGCTTCAGGTTTCTTATCTGAAAAGAGGAATAATATGCTCTACACACTGGGGAGGTAAGATCAAGGAATTTAAAAGATGCTTAGGTACTTTGCGAACATTATACTTTTGCATCTTGGTGGTTTTCCATGATTGCCTGATGGACATATCTTCATTCATAATGCATCACCTCTATTAGCATCGCTGATAACTTTGTAGCCAAGGATCAAAGGGGAGCCTCCGCTTCAATACTTCATTATGAATATTTAGCATGGCATCCAGACAGTTTTCACACACTTCTGCTACCTACCCATGGTAATTGGTGATCAGTGTGATGTGGCTTCGTGCCACATAACACTTTGAGATGATTTCTAGGTCAGCTCCAGCAATCAGTCTGGATGAAGACTATTTAACTTGTAATTGCTTATGACAATTCTTCCATCTTTTAAAAAGCTCTGACGGAAATGGTACTCTTATTCCTCTATGTCTTTTACCTGCCAATATGTACTGCAAATGGACCCTAAGGCATTCAATTTCCAATATTAATTCACATTGATGACCTTAGTTGGCTGCCACATGACATGTTTAAGATTAGAGTTGAAGGCCCACCCCTGTGATCAGCTAAGTTGACTGTTCCCACAGCCACAGGCTAGCCAACCCCCTTAGAAATGTGCACCAGTGGCTGCCAAGGGGCCCCAGCAGGAGAGTGTAAGTGGTTAGTCCCATCTAGCACAAGTGCTGGAAAATTCACAACATCCATGCAGTCATAGTGGGGACTGGTGTTGCCATTTTCATGTGAGTGAGATTCTCTGGCAATTTATAGTTATCATCAGGACTTTAGAATTCTGCTCTACAGTAGAAACACCATTAACCCTTCCATCTTATTCTAGCAAATCTTCGCCCTTCTAAATTTTTAAATTTTAAAATGGGTTACCTCTGCCGCTCTATTCCTACTTCTTCCACTATCAGCACCCCACATACAGACAAGTGCCTCTCCTGCTGCATCTGCCTAAACACTGCTGCTGAATGAGCTTTATTTGCTCAAGAACTATTTTTATCCCATCATTCTGCTTGAAGATCTCCACTGGCTTACACAATCAAGCCCAAAGCCATCCTTTTGGAACTAGAAGCTGCCTTAATCTCTCATGGTTTCACCTGTGCATCCCCAGCTCTCATTATTTCCAAACAGAAACATTTGTCTTCAGCACTTTGCTTTTGCTCATGCTTTGTTTCAGCTAAAATGCTTCTCCTTCTACCTAACTATTACAAATTGTTCCAAGTTGAGCTCTCATCTCATGTCTTTCTACAAAGCCTTTCATTAATGTTCTGGTCCGCAATGCTATTTTCTTCTCTGACTTGTTACATATGTTGATGTAACATATTTTGGAGCTGAATCAAATACTCTTTTGAGCTGTTCTCTAAGTGTTTTTCAATGGATAATGTCATTCTGCTGTAAAAAGGCCTTTCTTATCTCTCACTCACCTGCAGAATAAAATAAAAATCCTTAATATTCTGTATCTTTCTAAACCTAGTCATAATAGATTATTGGCTATAATCATAATCATCCATATTACATTTCTTTTAAAATCATATACACTTATATGTGTATACATATATAGATGTGTGGATATATATATTCCAATTGTGAATACAGTACATTCCTATTGTAAAAAATGCACAGATGACAGTCTTATATAAAGTAGGAAAAATCATTTACAAATCAACCACTCTGAGGTAGCCCCTATTAGCATCTTGACAGGTGTCTTTCAGGTGCATTTCTTAGCAAACCATAGGCTTTCACTTCTCTAAACCTTTGCTTACCTTGTTCTCTCTGAACTATGTTGCCCTTCTGAGTCCTCTCTGATAAGCATACTGATGGATCAAGGACTGCTCAAATACCGCCTCCCCTTCAAAGCTCTCCATACACCCGTCCTCACAAGTAAGATGGATCCTCCTCCCCACCAATCTTCCGTAGGTGTCTTCTATGCTGGCATCATGGGGTCTGGCATGCATATGCACATCTATCTGGCATGCACACATATCTGTCGCCCAAACGAGACTGGAAGCTCTCTGATGGCAAAACGTGTTTTATCCATCCCTTTCTTTAGCATGCTGCCTAGCATAGAACTGGCATCAAACAAACACTGGGGGGAATAATGAACGCAAGAGCATTAGTATGGCTTCTCATCTAGTGAGCTAAAGACTGAAACCATACAGTAGTAGGCCCATAGCACTCCGTGAATTCTTGTCAGCTGTGTTTCTAGCACATCAGATCTTTTATGTTAGAACTATTGTCTATTTAGTAATGAAAGGTCTGAAAAGACTTTAGGCAATACTTTTTCAGCTCCACAATACACAACTATGTGTGTCACCGGTGCAAGGTCCTGGGATGCCCATGCAGACATCACCCAGATCAAGAAAACAAACTTTGCCAGCGTCACTGAAGCCCCCACTGATGCCTCATCCCAATCTCTACCCACCCCTGCTCCTGAAAGCTCAGGGCAAGTTGTTTCTAACATTATAGTTTAATTTAGCATGTTTTTAGCCCAGGCGCGGTGGCTCATGACTGTAATCCCAGCACTTTGAGAGACCGAGGCAGGTGGATCACCTGAGATCAGGAGTTTGAGACCAGCCTGGCTAACATGGTGAAATCCCCTCTCTACTAGAAATACAAAAATTAGCCGGGCATGGTGGCAGGTGCCTGTAATCCCAGCTACTTGGGAGGCCGAGACAGGAGAATCACTTGAACCTGGGAGACGGAGGTTGCAGTGGGCTGAGATAGTGCCATTGCACTCCAGCCTGGGCAACAAGAGTAAAACTCCATCTCAAAAAAAAAAAAAATTAGCATGTTTTTGAACTTAATATAAATTGAATTATACAATACGTGTTCTAGCTTCTTTCCCTTAATATTATGTTTATGGGATTCATCTACATAATTGTGATTTTGTTACTTCTATTTCTGTGAACTATACCATTGCATAATTACACCATAATTAATTTATCCATTCTATTCTTAATGGACATTGAGTTGTTTCTAGGTTTTGGCCTTTATAAAAAATACTATTAACTTTCATATTCGTGTTTGTGTAAGTGTGTGTATGACTCTCTCTCTCTGTGTATATATATATATATATATATTTTTTTTTTTTTTAATTTGTAGTACTTTACAAACTTCTGATGATGTAGTATGGTCAATATAAACAGTAGCCACATTTAAATACATTAAAGTACAAAAGAATTTGGTTTTTCATCGGGAAGAAAATTACAGGAGGTACTTACTGGTATACAGGAGATCCAACTGCATCTACCTTCAATCAATTTTAAACCTATGCCTGCTATTTGAGCCCATGCAAAATCTAGTCTCTACAGGTTAATTTCTCAATTGGAGTAAGACCTTAGGCTTAATTTTTCCTATGGTTCGAGAAAATTGAACCATAGAAAATTTGGATTATTGAGATAATTTATGGAGATGAGGTGTGAAATAGAGAAATTATAAACAGTACTTTTCAAAGTGCATCTTAAAGTATCAACTTAGAATGTTGATGATGCCTATGAACCTCATATTCTATTAATAAAAAATAAATTTTAGTTGGTTTCAGTTGGATGAAATTGTATCTATATATACTAGTGGAATATTGTGGTTTAGATGATTTTAACTTAAGGGACAACCCGGCTTTTGCCAAGTATAGAAGCAGTTCCAAAACTTGTAAGTGAGAAGTTTCAAACTCAAAATAACTATTTTAGTCATTTGGTCTTGCTCAGATTTTGTTCTTACATTTCCATGAATGTGCTATAAAAATCTCCTGGGCTTCCTGTTTATTAAGAGCATGTTCTGAAACTGTGATTGATGAACTCTCCAGTATTATAGATTCATCATTAGACGGTTTGCTTTTTCCTTATGAAACAAACTGCTCGGTTGGGGGAGGTGTAGACAACAGGACCCATCCTCTCCCCAGTAATGATCCCAAAATTATTTTAAAACTAGTTTTAGCTAATATCCTATAAATGAAAGGTGTAACCAGGTTAGTACCCATGGAATGACAAAATCGAAAGTGGTGACCATATATTAAAAGGGATTCTTTCTTGGAACACCAGAGGGGATAACTTAGAAATAAACAATGATATAAGTTCCTAAGGTTAGAATTGTTGACTTAAATCCAGCCCTGACGTGGCATGTTTCTAGAACCAGCCCTTCTTTCTATTCCCACTATCTATGCCCTCTGGCTCTTCAATCTGTCCAAACATCAGTTCTGGAAGGAGCTACTTTGTTGAAAGATTAAATTATCTCACATCGCCTGCCTCCTTAACTACCTCCAATGGTTATCAATTTCCAAAAAACAACAACAACAAAAAAGGCCACACTCTTGACTATATGGCCCCAGACTAGTTAGGTTTTAATCTAAATTCAAAATACATCTCCTTACCATCTCATACCAGTTAGAATGGCGATCATTAAAAAGTCAGGAAACAACAGGTGCTGGAGAGGATGTGGAGAAATCGGAACACTTTTACACTGTTGATGGGACTGTAAACTAGTCCAACCATTGTGAAAGACAGTGTGGTGATTCCTCAAGGATCTAGAACTACAAATACCATTTGACCCAGCCATCCCATTACTGGGTATATACCCAAAGGATTATAAATCATGCTGCTATAAAGACACATGCACATGTATGTTTATTGCAGCACTATTCACAATAGTAAACACTTGGAACCAACTCAAATGTCCATCAATGATAGACTGGATTAAGAAAATGTGGCATGTATACACCATGGAATACTATGCAGCGATAAAAAAGGATGATTTCATGTCCTTTGTAGGGGCATGGATGAAGCTGGAAACCATCATTCTCAGCAAACTATCGCAAGGACAGAAAACCAAACACTGTATGTTCTCACTCATAGGTGGGAATTGAACAATGAGAACACTTGGACACAGGAAGGGGAACGTCACACATCAGGGTCTGTCGTGGGGTGGCGGGAGTGGGGAGGGGTAGCATTGGGAGATATACCTAATGTAAATGATGAGTTAATGGGTGCAGCACACCAACATGGCACATGGATACATATGTAACAAACCTGCACGTTGTGCACATGTACCCTAGAACTTGAAGTACAACAATAAAAATAAATAAATAAATAAATAAATAATAAATACGTCTCCTTAGAATTCCTACCCTCTACTTAACATTATCCTCTTCTATATTCCAAGTCCTCACCATGTACCTTCAAGACTCTTTGGTTTTACTTTTGTAATTATTTTTGTCTGGAGTGCTCTTCCCGCCCTCTACTTCTCCATGTCTTCAAATCTTTCATAACTGTCAAGACCCAGGTTAAATGCCACCTCCTCTTTTGAATCAGATAAATTACAATCAGATTTTGCTTTATTTAGCATTTACTTCACTCTTCCCTGTATTAATTAGTTAGTGACCTATCTTTATTCTCTACTTGTTCATAATCTTTTTGAGAATAGAAACTAGGCTTTCTTTTTGTATTTTCAGTGCTATCCACAGTTCCTTGCAGCAAGCATTAAATTAATTTGTATTTCCTTGAGTTTGCAAATTCAACATGTCATACAAGAAAAACAAATCAAGGGACTGGAAATCTCAAGCATTGGTTTTGTTCTCAGCTTTTCTACTAACTAAATGACTGTGGTATGCAGGAGCACTTTCTTCATATGTAAAATCAAGATTGGTCTTCATGTCTTTAGGGGTCTTAGCCTTAATGATCAAAGAAGAAATTCAAAAATTCATTTACACCAGATGTAACATCTCTAATTGCATAGTTATTGTGAATATACATCTCATTAGTTATAGCTAGAAAAGTAGAGCATTTTTTTGAGAGTCAGGAACTTATCCACTGGATGGATGAGCAAACAGAGGCTCTAAAAGTGATAGAAACAGGAGTTTGGACCCCAGTTGTTCAATTTCAAGTCTAGCGATTTTTGGAAAAGTAAACTGATTCTTGAGAGCAAGCCTGGAAAGGGAACTTTAGATAGGTTTGTTTGTTTATTTATGTATTTATTTTGAGATGGAGTCTTGCTCTGTCACCCAGGCTCGCTGCAACCTCCACCTCTCGGGTTCAAGCGATTCTCTGCCTCAGCCTCCCGAGTAGCTGGGATTGCAGGGGCTTGCCACCACACCTGGCTAATTTTTGTATTTTTAATAGAGATGGGGTTTGACCATGTTGGCCAGGCTGGTTTTGAACTCCTGACTTCATGATCCACCCGCCTTGGCCTCCCAAAGTATTGGGATTACAGGCGTGAGCCACCATGCCCGGCTGATAGGTTAATTTTAACAGTGAGTAAACAACTGACAAGTAGTAGAAAAGTCATTCATGTCTCAGAGGAAAGGACTAAACAGGGTTCTAAGCAGTAGCCGGAGAAAGTTGCTTTGGGGACTAGAACCTGGGCAGTTCTAGCTAGAGGACTATTAGGGGTTGTCGGGAGCTGCAGAGAGCTGCCAGGAGGGGCCAGCTAACTTGGGGGAAGTCACATGAGGAAAGCCTAAGAATGAGGATGTTAAGACCTGTTGATTAGGTGAAAAGCAACCTTACAATTTACCTGTTTCAGTTCTGGAATTTCAAGTCAATATGCAAACATCTAATCTCTTCTCAAAGGTCATTAGTAAAAGAGGCTCATTGGGATTTGGGAAGGGAGAGAGTAAGCAAAAAAGATGTAGAAAAGTCTAACAAGAAATCAAACTGGTGGCAGAGAGGGGCTTAGAGAAAGAAAGCAAGCCCAGGTGGATTCGGGAGATACAAATAATTTGATGGGGTTCAAGCAACTGCCAACTCATTTGGACCTGATCTAGACCCTGGGAATAAAGCAGAAAATATTGAAAATACATATAAAAATATATATGCCAAGATGCGCTGAGGCATACATTTAAGCTACCTACTACAAACTGCCCACTTATACATGGTTTGTACCCTGAAGTTTTCTTCCTTGTAGTTCAGAGACTTCCTGTTTCAACCAGTTCACTGGTCATGTCATGTCCAATCGAGGATGGGAAATGAATATGAGTCAAGACAGCGATCCCATGATAAAATTCTGAATGGGAGAACTCCTAACCTCTTAACCTGGAAAAAAGATTTGGCAATTCAAATAACAGGTAAAGAAAAGTGCTTACATCTGGGGATGCTTTGTGGAATTTTTCCTACGTAAGCACGATAAAAATCTTTCCAATGTGAGATTTTCTCAGATTGTTCACATTCTAATAGGAGAAAGAAGGGAAATACTGTCTACTTCATTTAATTTAAAGGTTTTCTTCCTATTCATGGTAGTAATCAGAATATGCCAAGGCACAAAATCATATCAGTAACAAGACATTTGGCTGGACAGTTCCAATTAGCTTGCTTTGCAAGGGAGGCAGGGATGGGGAACAGTTTTTATGCTACTGTCTTTAGCATCCTTTTTTTGATTACTTTTTTCACCAGTATTTTATACTATTATATTTATGAAATCAGCTCTGAAAAAATTATGAAGTTCTTGGCGATTCTAGTCACATTCACCTATTGAAAAGGCCAGTTTCCTAAATGCAGCACTCATGCAAGAAGATAGATTAAATGCAATGTTGCAGGAATAAGCTGACTGTTGCAGGCTGCATATCTGAGGACTTCTGATTTGTAATCCTGTTTGGCAAGCATTCCCACCAGTTATCCTGAGGGAAGCTGACCAGGTTTATGTCAAGGAGAATGGAAGCACATCCCCAGGCATCTGTATAACCCGCACACACCTCAAAAATGGGAGGAAGAGTAGGCGGAGCTATGAATACTGATGTACAAGTTTTATTTTAAAGACATCGTGTAGGCAGATTCAGTCCTACTTGGGGATTTCTGAAAAATGAAAATATGACTAAGGAGAGACTTCATAAAAATATATAAATAACAGCAAGGATATATCTCTTCCGGGCTGTCTTTGTCTTTGGTCTGCACCAGTGTCTCTAGAATGAAGTAAAAAGAAGTTATCTAAGACTTAGGACATGGGGGTCTCAAATAGTTTTCGTAGACTTTTTTTTTTAAACTGCCCACTCCATCCTATCCTCCTTGCCACAATCACACATAGAAGTCATTCTGCTTGTGACTCAAAAATAGTGAATCTAAACTCACCACAATTTTAACCCCTAACTCTCCTATGGATTCATTCCAATGACTATTGGGCACTACTGGGTAAGTGCAAGTCACCGTGCTATTTGACAAAACATACTTTGCTCTCTGGGAGCATATAATATCACTTGTATGGGACATGCTTGACACGCCAGATCCTGGTGCCCTGAGTCTAGGTCTGGAAGGGTGACGCGGGGAGATAATGAATCCTTCTCTCATCCTGGTCACTTTAAGGCTAGTGGGCAGATGGATTGGCAAGAGCAAATAGAAATCAACAGGCCAAATAATAAACCTTTTAGCATCTGTCATTTGTCACACACGTGCACACATGCACACGTACACACACATACATACACACATACTCCATGCTTCTTTTTCTGTATGCACTTAGAATAACAAGTTTTCACTATTAGATAAAAACTGTTATCTTGAGGACTTATGCCACCCTCCTTTTGCTATGACACAAAACAAAATAATTTGACCAGGATCTCCTAATTATGTCATCAGCTTTTCCATCAGTAGATTGAACATTTCTACGTACCATGAAGAGAACTATCTCCACTTGTGGCTAACAAAGCATGCTAATTGTGAAAGTGATTTCATCCTTATGCAAACAAAAAAGAACATTTTGGAGAGCCATTTTCTGGGTGAAAAGCAGGTCTTCTTAAATCAGTCATTCCAAATAAACTATGTTATTTACCAGGTATTCAACAACGAAAGGATGAAACAACCTTTTAGCGTTTGATTTTGTTCCAGAAAGAATCACAGTGGCTTACAGAATTCCCCAAATACACTGTAACTAAGTTACAGTGTAACTTAGTTGTGTGGGGTTTTTTTTTTTTTTGGAGGAGGGGGTCATTTTCTTTAAAGGAAAACTCACTGCATTGGAGGTCCTCCGCATACAAACATAGAAAGGGAACGTTTCTCTAAACAATAATGCCTGTGTGTGAGGCTCACAATGCTACAAAGTTACACCAAAACAACATGATGCAAGCAATGAAAATGTGAAGGTGCATTCTAATTGGGTGTGCCACCGTTCTGTGGATGAGAGTAGGATCTCTTCAGAATGTCAGACCACCAGAGACCCACTGCAACTGCAAAACAGAGCTCAGGAGGGGTCTCTGGACCTCGCCAACTATTCTCTCATAGCTACATGTGCACTGTGAACTCCTGAAGGTAGGATCTGCTGGCTGACTTGCATCCTTTGTTCAATGCCTGGTGCAGCACCGCCATGTTTAGAGATGCACCTAATGGATTCAGAGACATGCTTAATGATTATGATAACGATTAGAGGGAATCTGCCCAAAGTGAAGAATAAGGGGCCAGGTAAACTTTTCAAGCAGCAAAAAGAAAGCAGAATTCACTCTTCCGCCTCCTCCACCTGAAGAAAGGTTAAATATGACAGTCTCTGGCCAACACAGACCCTGGTCCACCAGGGACAATGTGCTCAGTGGCTGGGTTGGAGGTGGGAGTGGAGTGGTCTCCTGGCCACTCTCTTCTTCAGCTTCTTCTAAAGAAAGGGCCTTAAAATCAACAATCATTTTGAGCATATTAAGGACAAAACAGTGCTAGGGGCATCTCCCTCCTCTTTTCACCAGCTGCCCTTTCTTATTCCTGCTGCAAAGGTCTACAAAAGCAGAAGACCACGCCCAGTAATCACTAGGAATATTCCAGTTAAAATCTATAATGATCCTGGTGGTCAAACAACTCAGATGGAGCCATTTTGAGTTTCATAACTTGTTAGTACTTAATTTCAGTCTGAAAAGCTGGAAACACTTCTTTCCCTTGAGACTTGATACTGCTGTGGTAAGTAAGGAGTTAATATGAAGTCGACCCCATGCAACAAACACGTGTCATCAACTATGAGCCAACACCGTCCTAGCAGGCACTGCAAATACAAATAAGACATACGTGACTATTGTCAAGCTTTGTAGGTGGGAGAAGCTCATCAGAGCAACAACGTATCCCAGATGTTAAGACACAGGGTGCGGGGAGGGAAAGAATGCTTATTTTTATTGGGGAGCCCGAGAGACATCACTATTGGGTGTCTTGGGAGCAAAGTCTTAAAAGAGAGATACGGCAGCCAGAGTGCTGAGGAGGCAGAGCAGGGCAGCAGGCATGGAGGTAGGCGAGCCCTGACTGCGTGGAACGGCAGACAGCATGAGTGGCTGGGGTGTGGACGTGGTCCTGAGAGCCTGGCAAGAACAAGTATTGGAAGGGTAAGGACTGGACCCTCCTGGAAGGCCTTGGATGCCTTTCTAAAGAATTAGTGATTATTCTTAAGATGATGGAAAATCAGGGAGAGAGAATTTGCACTAGGCAAGGGGGTGACATGATGAGATTCAGATTTTGAACACAGACTCTGGCGGCCAGTGGGAGATGGAGGAGTAGAGTGGATGGTACTCAGGGGCCTAGCCAAGGGCACTGCTGCAAACCAGGCCAGGCAGGATGCGGTTGGATTTCTAGAGATGGAAGGAAATATCATGCAGGATGCTGAAACATACAGGCAGATTTGCCTTGAAGATACGGGAGCTGAAATTAGGCCTGGGCCCCTTTCCAAAGGCCTTGGGAGAGGACCTAGCCACGTGTTCACATGCACATATGTTTTTCCTAAATTTTCAAAATCAGATATTTCTATATTTTTCCTTAGGAAGACCTCCTCCAAAACAAGATCTACCCCAGCCAAGAAATGTTATTTCAACAGGGGGAGGCTGAGGTTCAGAGATGTTAAATGACAAAGACATTGGAACAGATCAGGCGAAGAGAAGCTGAGAGAAACAGGACAGAGCCACACTTTTAAAAGCCTCACTTTTAAAAGCTAAATGGCCCACTATGTTTCTCAAGATGGAGATCTAGAAAAAGGTCTAGAGAAAGACTTTCCATGAAAACATCACCTTTCCCCATTAGTGGCATGTTCATTTAACTTCGATCCTTACATTACACTAATTACTGAGCTCTCATTGCTAATCAAATGATTCACACAAATCCTTGCAGACCTTGTTTGAATGGAGGATTCCAGTGTTTTACTTCCATCCTTGTAAAGCCAAGGATAACTTTATAAGTTTTAGGGGGAGAGAGTGTGTGAAGCTATTACATATAGTGATAAGCTAAAAGAAATGGGTCCTAGATAGTTGTCCTTTCAAGTTGAATGTCTTGTTTAAATGTGTTGTGTGTGTGTGTGTGTGTGTGTGTGAAAGAGAGAGAGAGAAGTAGAAGGAAGAGGAGGAAAAGGAACAGCAGCAATATATAGCCGTCCCTCCTTATCTGCAGGGAGGTACATTCCAACACCCTCAATGGATGCCTAAAACTGCAGATCATTTTTGGCCAGGCGCGGTAGCTCAAGCCTGTAATCCTAGAACTTTGGAAGGCCGAGGCAGGTGGATCACCTGAGGTCAAGAGTTCAAGACCAGCCTAGCCAACTTGGTGAAACCCTATCTCTACTAAAATACAAAATTAGATGGGTGCCTCTAATCCCAGCTACTCAGAAGGCCGAGGCAGGAGAATAGCTTGAACCCAGGAGGCAGAGGTTGCAGTGAGCCGAGATTGCACCATTGCACTCCAGCCTGAGCAACAGAGCGAGACTCTGTCTCAAAACAAACAAACACTGCAGATCATAGCGAACCCTATACATACTATGTTTTTTCCTATACATACATATCTATAATAAAATTTAACTTATAAATTATACACAGTAACAGATTAGCAACAATTACTTATAATAAAGTAGAGCAATTAAGTAAAATCAGTTACGTGAACACAAGCACTGTGACACCAGGACAGTTGATCTGATGACTGAGATGGCTACTAAGTGGCTCACAGGTGGGAAGCATCTTCAGGAGAGACACCAGATAAAGGAATGATCCACGACCCAGGCAGGACAGAGTAGACGGAGCAAGATTTCATCACAATATCAGAACGGAGTGAAATTTAAAACTTACGAATTGTTCATTTCTGGAATTTCCCATTTAATATTTTCAGATCATGGTTGACGATGAGTAACTAAAACCACAGAAAGTAAAATTGCTGATAAGTGGGAAAGACTATAGCAATGGGGTAGGGCAGAAGGAGCCCTGGACACATATGAGAACACTTTAGTCCATAAGTTCTGGAGTCCTGGTGGCCAAATCTCTGAAACTTTCAAGGTCCTGGTTTCTTCTTGAGTCAAATGGAAGGGTTGAATCAGATGCTCTACAAAGTCCCTTTTTATTCTAAGATCCCAGGTTACACATAAGTCAAACCTTATTTAAAATTCACCCAAAGACTCACGTTTTACCTGTTTGATTGTTTCCTAAAGGAGTTAAACCTATACTTGACTTTATTAGAATATTCCATATGCTGCTCACGCACCACCTCTGAAAAGAAATCTAAAAGTCGGCAATCCTGCTCTCTTGTTCCGAACTACAAAATGATTGAAGCTTAGAATTCCTTGGCCAGCTGTCTCCTTCCCCTTCCATCACCCCCTCCCCCAGTGATTGATTGCTAAGCCTCTTCTATTTTTCATAGATGTTGGCAAGTTGAGTTCTCAGAAATAAAGTTCAGAAGGGGGAAAAGGAATTAAATTTTCCCATTCCTCCCGCCCCATATATTTCTAAAAGCATATCTAAATGCCAAATCTTTTCAATGGATGATCATAAGACCAATCGGCCCATTTTACCTATAGCACTGGCTGGTGCATTTAAAGAAAGATTCAGCCTACCAAGGCAGCTCATGCCTGTAATCCCAGCACTTTGGGAGGCTGAGGCAGGAGGATTACTTGAGCCCAGAAATTAGACCAACCTGGGCAACAGCGTTTAGTGAGATTCTGTCTCTACAAAAAAATTTACAAATAGCCAGGCATTTTGGTGTGTTCTTATAGTCCCAGCTACTCAGGAGGCTGGGGTGGGAGGGTTGCTTGAGCCTGGCAGGTTGAGGTTGCAGTGAGCAGTTGATCACACCACTGCACTCCAGCCTGGGTGACGGAGTGAGACCCTGTCTCATAAAAGAAAAGAAAGACCCAAAATACATAAAGAAAGACTTTTGGCCAAACTGAATCTTCTATACCAAGCAATTGAAAATGAGCTCCTTAATAGTTAAAATGTCTCAGCGCTATAACATTTTAATGTCATTTCTGAAGAATGGATATAGAGAAAAAAATTCATTGCAGATTTTTGCAGAGTGAAGTTTTAAGAGTATTTTCATATAAATAATACAGAGCAGCCATAATTTATTAACATATCACCCTTTCCACTCTGGTCAGGATCTTAGTGAGCTCTTCTTTAACGTGTAGCTGCAAATTAATTTTCTGGTCCATGTCCATCATGGAGATAGCATGTTTATGCTGCTAAACATTGCAGAACAATGCCTTGTAATCTCTAGAAATGTCATAGCAAGTTTAAAAGAATGCAAAACACAGGCCGTGGGCTTTCCTATTTCCTAATTTAATATTCATTTCCCATACTTCCCCACACCTCTCACACTCATTGTAACAGATAGAGTCAGCACTCCCTCGGCCCATAACCCAGTAGCACTTACTTTTCTAATTAGAAGCTTACTGGGAACATCTACAATTGTACAGAGGGCTTTTTTCCCTGACCGTAGGAGTATGGGAGACAATGCTCAATGAAGCAGTGATCATCCAATGATGGAGAGGAAGTAAGTGAATACATACCCCAATTTCTACACACTTAAATTGGAATAACTTGGAGGTATGTTTCACACAGTGGTCAGTGGCTTGAAAATAACACCTTTTACTGACTTTCTTCTCTTTTCTGTCGTACTTCCCCAAATCCCTGCTGGTATTTTCTGTGTGCACCTCTCAAAATATTGCTTGCACTCAAAATCTTATCTCTGGGTCAGCCTTTTGGAAACCCCAAACCCCAAGACCCAGCACATACTTCCTGTATCCACCAAATGTTCTGAGTTTATGAGATTGGAATTGAAAGGCACCGCAATTGAGTTGTCACCCAATTGAGTTTTCACCCAATTAGAAAATGTTGGTGAATTGATTTTTATTTGGAAAAACTGAGATCTTGACAAACTGATCTCAAGGTCACATGAGCAGTTAATGTCAGAGAGCAGATATCCTGAGTCCACCAGTTTTTTACTCTGTGAGTGAGACAAATCTGGTTAACGGGCCGGGACATTTGTGAGCTAAAATACTACTTCTAGCAGAAGCCTGTCATGAGATTTGAATTGAAGGATAGAAAAAGTCCATGGTGATATGCTGAGTGTAAGAAGAGAACAAAAGATTAAGAGGATGATACAGTATGTGAAGGTGACAGGAGTTACAGAGAATGGCATTGCTTGCATTGGTCAAGGAGAAATGAGAATATATAGGGAAACTCTGAAAAGGAGCTTAAAAAATCTCACACTCCTGGCCAGGCACGGTGGTTCACACCTGTAATCCCAGCACTTTGCAAGGCGGAGGTGGGTGGATCACAATGTCAGGGGTTTGAGACCAGCCTGGCCAATATGGTGAAGCCCCGTCTCTACTAAAAATACAAAAATTAGCCGGGCGTGGTGGCGCATGCCTGTTGTTCCAGTTACTCGGGAGGCTGAGGCAGGAGAATCGCTTGAACCCTGGAGGTGGAGGTTGCAGCGAGCTGAGATCGTGCCACTGCACTCCAGCCTGGGTGAGAGAGCGAGACTCCAACTCAAAAAAAAAAAAAAAAAAAAAAATCCCAGCCTCTTCAACCCCTAATGTATATGTTTGTTTGTTTGTTTATTTGTTTAAAGATGGTTAGTTCTCCCACCTTGAAAAAACAACCCCTTAGAACCCAGGACCCTTGAATAACAATCAATAAGCTCCTTTCTTTGCAGCGTGCCTTTGGTCAGAACAGTCAAGGCTGTCTCATGGCCTCTGGTTTTGTTCCTCTTCTGTTGGTGCCTTGACATTGACAATTTACAGCTCTGGCAGTAAGTGAGCAACCCTAGAGCAAAATAGATAACACGGATCCTTTAAAAAACAACACACTGACCTGTTGAAAAAGAGCTTTATGAAGCTTATATTTGTCTCGAATGAAATGGTAGAAGAGAAAGTATGCCTCAAAACAGTTTATAATGCAATGTAAACATTATTCTACGTGTCTGTTTGTTCCCATTTGTCCACATTTCCACATTCCTTTGTCATGAGACCTCTCTGAGGGCTGAACATATGAAAGTTATTTTGTAATTTATTAACTAATAATAATAATGCTTTCCAAGGAAAATGATATTCTTCATGGCTCATGATCAAGTCTTTATTTTATTCCTCTAAAATTTCGAGTGGAGGAGATTTAAAATTGGAGGCAAATAAATAATAATATTATTTAATCTAGTCTTGCTTTTGTTGTTATAAATAAAGAAAAGGTTTTGAGCTTATGTTCAAGGTCAAAATGTGGAAGACTACATTTATTCTCAGACTCCTTTTAAACAAAGGGTTTCTAGAGCAGGGTGGTGGCCTAATCCTGACCCTGTGAATATGGTACCTTACATGGCAGAAGGACTTTGCAGCTGTAATTAAATTAAAGGTCCTGAGAAAAGGTTATCCTGGATCATCCAAATGGGACCAATGTAATCACAAGGGTCCCTATAAAAGGAATGCAAGAGGCCCAAAGTCAGAGAGAAAGGAGTTGTGAGGGCAGAAGCAGAAGTTAGAGTGATATAGGCCAGCCGCGGTGGCTCACGTCTGTAATCCCAACACTTTGGGAGGCCAAGGCAGGTGGATCGCCTAAGGTCAGGAGTTCGAGACCAGCCTGATCAATACGGTGAAACCCCGTCTCTACTGAAAATACAAAAATTAGCCAGTGTGGTGGCGTGTGCCTGTAGTCTCAGCAACTTGGGAGGCTGAGACAGGAGAATCGCTTGAACCCAGGAGGTGGAGGTTGCAGTGAGCCGAGATTGCACCACTGCACTCCAGCCTGAGTGACAGAGTGAGACTCTGTCTCAAAAAAAAAAAAAAAGAAAGAAAGAAAGAAAGAAAGAAAGGAGTTAGAGTGACACCAGTGCAAGGAAAGGGCCATGAGTCACGGAATGCCGGCAGGCCAGAGAAGCTGAAAAAGACACAGAAATGGATTCTCTTCTAGAGCCTCCAGGATGATCCAGCTATGCCTATACCTTGACTTAATTCCAGTGAGATTGATTTTGGTCTTCTGACCTCCAGAACTGTGAATAAATCTAGTGTTGCTTTAGGCCACTAAATTTGTGGTAATTTATTATAACAGCAACAGAAAACTAACACAAGGGGTATGTGTAGGAATTAATGCTGGGCAATCTACCAAACAGTTCAACCTCATGCTATGCACGTGAATTCACCCAATTTCAAGGCGGCAGAGTGGAGTAGAAAGAGCAAAGCTTTAGATGAGACATCCCCTGAGTTCCAATCCTGGTTCTGCCACTTCCCGTCTGGTCTGCGTGCCTCTGGGCTATTTACCTCTCTGAGTCCTAATTACCTCACAGGTAAAGCAGTAGTTGTTTATACTATATCACATCCAATAGAATCACAAACCTACTGCAATGGCAACAAACCATCCAGATATAGTAAAAGGTATCGGTAGGTTGTTGTGAAGTTTAAATGAAATAATTTGCGTAACGAGTCTCTACACAGTGTTTCTTATACAGTAGGTGCTCAACAGAAGTCAGTTCTCTTCCTCTCACCCCAACCTTACATAGCAGGGGCTGTGTATAATACCCCAGGGAGCTTTCTAAAATGTAAAGGCTTGTATCTGCATCATTAATACCTTCCTGCCTCAACTGGGATAACAACAAAACTCCTTAGCAGGGTTTGTGAAATGCTTTTTGTATTTTAACAGCTTATTAAGACATAATTTACATATCATAAAATTCACCTGTATGTGATTCACAATAATTTCATGGGTATTTTTTAGCATATTTGCAAAATTGTATTATGCATAGTGCAGAATTGCCATCACTACAGTCTAATTTTAGAACAGTTCCATCATCCTAAAAAGGAATAGAGTGGTGATTTACCACCATTCTTTATTCCCATCCTACCCCTCAGTAACTACTCATCCATGTTCTGTCCCTGTGGATTTGTCTTTTTGGACATTTCGTATACATGGACTCATACAATATGCAGACTTTTGTCCTGGGTCATATTTACCTTTCCAGGCTTACCTTACCAATTTCCCATCCCTCAGTGATAGGACAGCAAAACTGTAATTACTTTTAGTCGTTTGAGTTTTCACAGTTCCCACCCTTCTGCCTTCAGCCCTATCTATGTGCATGTGCCTTTGCCTGGAACAACCTTTGCATCCTTCAGGTATCAAAGAAGACAGCTAAGTATGATGTGCAAAGAGCCCAAGAAAGATGGTGCAAAGAGGCCAAGAAAGAAAGACTAACCCTACGGCTAGTGTTGGGTGAAGATGGAATCAGAGAAGAAACAAACAAGAGGGACCCTGATTTGTTTCTTCCAGCCCTAGCTGGTTTGTGCTGCTCAGCCCTGGGACATGAGTGGGTTACATTAACTCAAAGGGCCAGGTCAGAGCACGCAAGGTCTCAAAACAGGGTATTGCAATGAATAACAGGAAACACTTCATGACTATCCTGGCCATGTCTATTCTATTAATGATCATTCTACTACTTATCACTACTACCCAGTTTCAGCTTATGGAGAAAATGGTTAAGAAGACATTGGCAATGATGATTGTTTTTGGTCAGCCTTTGGTTCATGCACATGAGCTACCCACGGCATAAAATGGGAAATGTTTATATGGCATCAACATCTTTCATTCTAATTTTTAATTAATTGTAATGTTTAATTAGAGCCTGTCATCATAATACTGCTGGCAAAAAAGATGGGGTAAATAAAAATGGCTTTTTGTTTGTTTGCTTGTTTGTTTGAGACAGAGTCTTGCTCTGTTGCCCAGGCTGGAGTGCAGTGGTGAGATTTCGGCTCACTGCCACCTCTGCTGCCCGCGTTCAAACGATGCTCGTGCCTCAGCCTTCTGAGTAGCTGGGACTACAGGCACACACCACCACGCCTGGCTAATTTTTGTATTTTTAGTAGACACAGGGTTTCATGTTGGCCAGGATGATCTCGATCTCCTGACCTTCTGCCTCGGCCTCACAACGTGCTGGGATTACAGGCGTGAGCCACTACGCCGGGCCAAGAATGGCTTTTTGGTGGATTAGATTTAAATTCTAAAATACTGCTGTGCACTGAAGTCTTCTCCCTTTGGGTTTAATATTTAAATAAGTTGATATGTTTATTAGCTAAATTGGGTCTGCATCCATCTGCCAGAATAAACAGGGACACATTCTTTTCTATGTTGCCATAGTTTTATTATCAGAAATTAGGAGTGGCCTTAAAAATAACTGCTCCTGTTGGCTAATTATTGTGAGGAAGAGAAGTTTAGTCTCAATTAAGCTAAACTGACATAATTGTCTTTGGCAGGCATTCTCTAATGTTTAAGTCCACAGTATTTAATTACCCCAACCACAGACAGCACATTCAGCTTCTTAGAGGTGCACTTTGCAGGTGACTCATCCAAGAAGATCCATCAGGACGCAGTTAAAAGCAGAATCAGATGTTCGCAGAAGCAATACTACATTTATTTTATGCTAGAGACAAGTGGATTGTAACATTTGTTCTCAACATTTGTGGTTTTTGTTTTGTTTTTTGTTTTTTGTTTTAAGATGGAGTCTCACTCTATCACCCAGGCTGGAGTGCAGTGGCATGATCTCGGCTCACTGCAACCTCCACCTCCTGGGTTCAAGCAATTCTCCTGCCTCAGCCTCCTGAGTAGCTGGGATTATAGGCGCGTGCCACCATGCCCAGCTAATTTTTTGTATTTTTAGTAGAGATGGGGTTTCACCATGTTGGCCAGGCTGGTCTCCAATTCCTGACCTCAAGTGATCCGCCTGTATTGGCCTCCCCACGTGCTGGGATTACAGGCGTGAGCCACTGCACCTGTCCTGTTCTTAACATTTTTAAGATAATATTTTCTCCTGATATTTTTTTGGTGCAAGATTCTGAGTTCTCAATTATGTGTCTAAGTATTTAAGCATATATTTTTGGTAGAGCTGGGGTTTCACCACATTGCCTGGGCTGGTCTCAAACTCCTGGACTCGAGTGATCCTCCTACCTTGGCCTCCTGAAATGCTGGGATTACAAGCATGAGTCACCATATCAGGCCTAGGAATACCCTCGGCAGGGGTGAAAATACAAGACAGGTTGCTAGATTTTCATAGCTGAATGTCAACTCTGTAGTTAGTGTATTTGGAATCTAAAGCATTTGGCTCTTTCTTTTATCAGGAACACAGAAATAGCCACTTAAGGCTTTTACTAGAGAAGTCAAGTATGAATTCCCTGCAATCCAATACTCAGCGACTCAGATAAGATATCTGATTTTAAGAGAGGCAGACTAAAAATATTAGCTCAATTTCTCCAGGTCAGAGCTTCTCAGTGCTAGCTATACATTAGGATTGCTTGAGGTACTTTAAAAATACCTATGCCCAAGTCCCACCCAGAATATCTGAGTTAGAATTTTTAAAAGGCTGTCGAGGGTCATGAACCACTCTTCTAGAACCTTGTTTCTCCAAGTGTGGTGCATGGACTAGCAGCATTACCATCACCTGGGAGGTTGTTAGAAATGTAATATCTTGAGCCCCACTTCAGACCTGCTGAGTCAGAATCTGTGGATTAACAGAATCCCCGGGAGATTCTAATGCATTTGAAAGTTTGATAACCACTTTCTTTCTTTCTTTCTTTTTTAAAAGAAGATTCTATACATTTTTACTATCAGATCATCAAAAAGCAGCACAGCAGCAGAACTCCCTGGTGAAATGCCTTCATTGAACTCTAGTTTCATGATTTGCCTGGGGATCAGTGGAGTCCATTTGTGTCAATTATACAATTCTCATCAAATCATCAAAGACATTTTCCTACTATATATCCAATATCCCTTGAACAAGAATCCACACAACAAAAGTCCTTTCGCATTTTAGTGACAAAAAAAGCTCACATCACCAGATGAATTTAGTTACTCCTTAATTCAGACAGAAAGTAGAATGATGTTTTCAAGGGGCTGAGGGGAGGGTGAATGAAAAGTTATTGTTTAACGGGCAAATGTTTCACTCTTGCAAATGAAGAGTTCTGGAGAGGCACGGATGGTGGTGATGGTTGCACAATACTGTGAATGTACTTTATGCCACAAGCCTGAAGACCTAAATATAGTCACGATGCTAAATTTCATGTTATGCATATTTTGCCATGAAAAAAAATTAAAGAAACTCAGGAAGAAAGAGAATTTTGCTTTTCCTTTTCCTGGAGTCAATAGCTCCTTTGAAGCTGCTGTTTTCCAAGCTCATTTGTGAAATTCTACCTTAGGCTTTTAACGGCTACAATGCCAACATGATTTCAGTAGAGAAGTTATCTCTGAACCATCATTTAGCAAATGGAATGTGGGGGGAAGCGGGCATGCGATTCCATGAAGGGCAATGAGTTTGAGTGGAAATCATGGAAGCCCGTGATCACCCTTCCCTTGGGTTCTTTTCCCTGAAAGAGTTCTATAATTCTGGTGAGTGGAGAGGGCACATAACACAGACTCCCCGAAGGAATTATAAAGCCAGCTCTGCCATGTTGGAAATCTCGGTATCCAGGGCTTCTGCCCCGACAACCAAATCCAGAGCCTCTGCTCAGGCGTCTGTTAGCTCTTGGCAAAACGGAACTTCCTGTTTTCAAGATAGTGTTTTCAAATGGCTCATAAAAGCTTTCTTGGACAAAACTAGTCCTTGCAAAACAATATTTTGATGATTAAACTATACATGAATCAGAAACATATGGAGTGAATTTCCCTTGGGTTTGGCAAAGCACACTTTGGACTTGATTCCGTCCAGGATACTTGAAAGATGGTTGCAAGTGTTTGTGGAATCAAATGCGGCTTCACTTTTCCCAGTTCCATTTCTAGGGAATGGAAGTTTAAGAAGAGATCAAAGATTTCTTAGGTTTCTTTGTCATAGCCTTTGTTTCTACACTACCAGATCTCTACACACATGCAGGATTTACTCACCTAAGAGTTACAGTTGACTGAGTATATAGCACAGTTGCCAGCAACATTGCTTTTCTCTCTCTCCCTGGTTTCAGTGTAGTTCAGCAGGTTTCTTCTTTAATTTATAAATGAAGGGTTTCAGATTTGGGTTATTTCAAAGAATAGAGACTCCCTTGTAGGAGAACTCTTTTCCACTTACCTACAAAGATTCAAGCTTACTTTTCTTCTTGCAACCCTCAGCATTTGAACTCTGTGGGCAGAGTTGTTTTAATGGAGTGCCACAGCTCTGGAGAGAGCACCTTCCATGTGGTCAGAAAGAATGCTCACCTCCTTGGACATCTTGGAGGGCCATTTGAGAAACAAGGAAGGAGCCCAATATTCTGATAAGAGTTTTATGTATTGTCCACATTTTTTAATATATGAAGATGAAACATTTGCTGTATTTGGAAACACTTTTATCCATAAGAACAGTACTAAAAGGGCTGTGGGAACAGCCCTTAATACTTAAGTATTGAGGATTTTTTAATTTTGTAATATCTCAGGAACATGGGCAAATAATTCTCAGCAATACAAATTTGGGAAACATAAAGAGAGACTTCAGGTCTTTAAAAAGGTTCAGAGATAATTCATATCAGAGATGAAATGTAAAATGAGGACCATATCTTTTTATTCCAGCTTATCCAAATCTAGTGGAAAAATAGCATAAGCATGCTTCTCCTCTGTTCACGAGCACATCTGTAAGTCACCTGTAGCTCCATTAATGTGAAATGCAAGAGTCACTTCTCAGTAATATATATTATATTCTAGGAAACACTGAAATTTCACATATTTTTACTAAACAGCACAATATAACATAACACAAATAAAATGTCCAATTTTTTCAGCTACCAAATCATTTTAACCACCCTTTTGCAATATCAACAAAACAAAACAAGAAAACCTAAAGGCCAGAAGAGAAGAACAACCTTCCTGTGGGAGAAAAGAATTTGAACAAAAACATGAAGGTAGAAAAATATGTGGTGTAAGGAGAATGTTGGAAAAAGTAAAAATAAAAACAAGAAACTAGAGAACAAGGTCAGGTATCATTAACATTAGTGCTTCTCTTCCTCCAAGATCTGAAACTCCAAAATGTCTCACTGTGATCACAACCAGCCAGGGTCCCCTTGCCTGGGTTTGCATTCCCTGTTCTGTGCTTTATCAGCAGGATGTCCAGGGACAAGTTACTTTACTTCTTTGAGCCTCACTGTCCTCATCTGTAACATGGGTATAATAGTCCCTCTTTCTCTCTTATAGGGTCGTGAGGATTCAATGACATCATTTAGCAAGAGTCTCTCAGCAGCATTTAGAACACAGTGAGTGCTCAGGAAGTAACAGCTGGCCCGTCTGCCCCCAGCCTGAGTCCTTACTTGCTGCTGGAGCTGCTTCCTACCCTCCCTGCAACCTTGACTCTCAGGCCCTCCAGACTCAACCTTCCATCACCTTCACCTGACTTCAGGGTCCTCCTGCACCCCTTCCTCCTCGTAGCCCTCCACTTGTGCAGTCAGTGGTCAAAGCCTATTGATTCTACTCCCTCAATCATTTATACTTTGCCTCCTCTCTTCCATTCCTTGCCACCGCCATGTCCGGGCCCTTTAATGTCTTTAGAAATGTGTGCCATTTATGACATTCCAGTCTGAGTTCATGCTAGCTGTGCAGCTTCCGACAAGTTTCTTATTTCTCCAAGCCTCAGTTTACTTTTCTGTGGGAAGGAAATAACTAACAGAGTCTCACTATTTATGGCAGTTTTGTCTCATAAAGTCACTGTGAACACTGAAGTAGTGAATACTGAAACATTGTTACTGGAGGAAATGCAAGGTGACGTCTCCGTGAGCACGTTTTCTTCAGCCCACCTGTACGTACCTTTGGTTTTCTGTTTGTTTCTGTTGAACCATGCCGGATTTAACACATACCGTTGATTCATCAACATTGAAGCCACACGGCCAACAGCACTATCACTCATGCCTGAGCCACGCTCACTGTATGTTCTCCATAAAGCTCGTCACAGCTTCCCTGAAGTTAGAAGCACTGCATCGCACTTCAGCATGACGCTTGGGGCCATTCTAAACAGCAAAACCACCAACAAAAAGCACCAAAATGCAAAAAAAAAAAAAAAAAGGCACAAAATAGACTGTGAAAAAGACACATCAACAGGATGAGAGCTCAAACAGGGAGGCAGAGCCTCACTTTGTTCCATCTCAGCTCAAATTTTCGCTGCTCTGCACATGTCTGTGAATGGCTGTGAAAACGCCACAAGGACTGATTTTTGGGGTTACAAATACATTCTAGTGAGTAGGCAAATTTTGCAAAAGCAGACTCCAAGAAAAATGAGGATTGACTGTACAGCCAGCCCTCTGTTCAATCCATGGGGGGGTTCAAAATGTGAGGAAAAAATAAAAAATCACAATACAGCAGTAAAAATAACACAAATGTAATAAACAATACAGTATAACAACTATTTACATAGCATTTACATTCTATTAGGTATTATACGTAAGCTAGAGATGATTTAAACTGTGTGTGAGGATGTACATAGATTATATGCAAATACTACGGACACTATTTTCTATCAGGAACTTGAGCATGGCGGGGGTAGTGGGACTGCGGGACAGAGTGGAGGTGTCCAGGAACCTGCACTGTGGTTCCCTATGGATATCAAGGAAAGACTGTGTTTGTACCTAAACAGATCTTGGAAAAATGAGGAACAGCTGTATTTGTACCTACCATGCAGGCTTGCTGTGCAGATTAAAGGACATAATCTAAGAAGTAACTGCTAGGCAATTAACAAGTGAGAGCTATTATTATTATTTATTATCATTATTATTTATTACCATTATGTTCTCCACTGCTGCAGTTGCATTTGTAACTGATGGTGCCCCCATCAACTTCCATTCACTCCACCTAACACATAGATTAAACTCTGACCATGTCACTTCTGGGCTTGGTATTCAAATTCTTTTCAATGCATCTACCATCGGTCCCTTTCTCTCTACCCTCTCGTTCAACAAAACTGGCCTGGCCACCATGCCTCATGTACACTCCAGGCGTGCCTTCCCCTGTGAATTGGCATTCCACTTACTTTCCTTCCTTTGCTGAAAATGTCTCCTGCCTCCCTCTTTCTGTTCCCCATTCTCCTGTATTAAAATATACCTATTCAGCTCTCAAGACTCTTAGGTTAAAAACATCTCTAAAGCCTTTTCTAGCCAGAATTAATATCTCCCTCTTATCATCCTCAATAATCTTTTTTTTCTGTTCTCATGGAAGCTGTCATTTTCTATATTTTGTTAAAATTTTATGTACATGTTTTATTTCCCTGAATAGGTATGAGTAGCTTTGATTCCTTTTCTCATATACTGCGGAACTCTTTGCACAATACCTTGTCTTTAGAACAGTAGATAATAAATGCTTACTGATTAAATACAATAACAAAAATACTCACAAGGTAGTTGGCTTTGCTTTACTGAAAAAGACATGATATTTATAAAAACACATTTTTTTTTACTTGAGAAATTCTACATATGAACAAACCAACTTTAAATTAAAAAGAGAGTTCGTAATTTATACTAAAGCCAAAGGGAGCCAATATTAACTAGTTTTCTTAAAGTCTGGTGACTTGTTTCTGAACGTTTGTCCTAAACATTTTCAGCCTCCAGGCCCTTTTTTGGGCAAGTTATGAACCTTGAAATCAGAGCTAAATAATACAGGTGCCAACATACTCTGAATTACATCACAGGGTCTTTCAACAGCCTCATTCTAATAACAACAAGAGCACTTCACACTTGGCGAGTTCACTGCATCCAAATAGCTTGAAGCTTGGGCAAACTAATTTTGTACACTAACCTGTTGCTTCTCTGCCTCTGAAATGGAGCCTGGTAGAGGGTAAGTCTGTCTACTCATGATTGAGTATGTTCCTGTTTGTGAGAATCAGGAGGTGGGAATCAAAACGCCCGGATCATAACTCCCAGGGAACAAATCCTTCTTGGGCACTGGAGGCATACTGTATTTTTAATGAAGAAAGACATGGCAGGGTGTTTTACAAGTTACTAAATGTGTGCTCCTTTGTTCCTCCTAATATATTTTTTTCACCATCGTCAGTTGGTTTGTTTTTTTTTTTTAAAGAAAATCAAAGTACATGTCTTGCCTGAATGATTTCCCCCTTTATGTTGCATTTTCCTGTTTGAATGGAGGATCCAGGCTGCTACCAGGGAACTGGTCTATGCCTTACCAAAGTGTGCAAATGGTCCCGGTAACGGTGCAGCTGTGGAGGGGAAGAGGAAGCAGTGAGCAGGCTCACCCTCATCTGTGGGCGCCTGCAAATCACCTGCTCTACTCTTGTTATTACTTTTTCGTCCATGCCTTTTCAAGTCTGTTAATTTGGAAGAAGCGTCAGTTCCTCTGCACTTCCCATATTTGTGAGAATACCTCAGCTATGAGCTGGACTTCCTGTCTCTTTCTCTGAATTCTGAGATCCAACATTTAGAAAGGAAGTGACTTGTAAATACCCCTTGCAAATCCTCTTCCTCTCTACTGACCAATTCTGTTTCAAAAATATATAAATCAATGTGTATGTGTGTGTGTGTGCATGCATGTGCTGAGGTGTGTGTATTTCAAGTAACCATATCCTTGAATATCACTGTTCATGCTGAATGGAGACAGGGAGAGCTGGGGACTGACTGAAGAAATGGAGAAGGCCATGCTTGATTCTGCAGAACATGGCAGGAACCTGGATGACAGGATCAATCTTCCTGTAAGTGATGAAACAGTGAAAGGAAGTGGGAAATTATCCAGAGACATGCCGTAATCCTTTTGACCTCAAAGGAACATCTAATTCAAAACTATGTTAAATCCATTCTCCAAGAACAGCTGTCACCACAGAGCTGCAAAACTTGTTAGGTACAATCTACCAGTGCTTTGACAGAATGCCCAGGTGGAAGTCAATAAAACAAGGTCCTCCCTTTCCCTTGAGATTAATATACTCTAGAGAGTCAAGCTTCTCTGGAAGCTTGGCCCAGGTCTACCAGGCTGCCTTTCCTGGAGTCTCCTCACAGCAGTTTGGTGATACCATTTTCTTCTAAGGCTGTACCATGTTCCCTAATGGATCTGATCAATTCCTAAAACAAGAAGAATGCATTTTTAATGAGTTTTCTTCATTAACTTGATAGCTGTTGGGGGCCAAATTGTGCTCCCTCCTAAATTCATATGTTGAGGCCCTGACCCCTAGTATGTGACCTCAGAATGTGACTCTATTTGGAGAAAGGGCCTTGAAAGAGATGATTAAGGTTAAATGGGGTCATAAGGGTGAGGGATAATCCAATATGACTGGTGTCTTTATAGAAGAGATTAGGGCCAGGCACAGTGGCTCAACCCAGCATTTTGGGAGGCCAAGGAGTGAGATCACTTGAGCCCAGGAGTATGAGACCAGCCTGGATAACGTAGCGAGACTCTGTCACTACAAAAAATTAAAAAATAAAGAAATTAGCTAAGGTGGTGTCATACCCCTGTGGTCCCAGCTACACAGAAGGCTGAGGTGGGAGGTTCACTTGAGCCCAGGAGATCAAGGCTGCAGAGAGCTGAGATCACACCACTGCACCCAAACCCGGGTGACAGAGACAGATCCTGACTCAAAACCAAAAACAAAAACAACAAAAAAAGAGAAGGAGACTAAGGCACAGACACCCACAGACTAAGGGACAACTATGTGGGAGGATGAGGTGAGAACGTGGCCATCTACAAGCCAAGGAGCAAGACCTCAGGAAAAATCAACCTTACCAGTACCTCAGTCTTGGACCTCCAGCCTCCAAAACTGTGAGAAAATAAATTTCTATTGTTTAAGCTACCCAGTAGTATTTTGTTATGGCAGCCTTAGCCAACCAATACATCAGCTATGGACTATCCAAGGTGATTTTCTTCATTACTATCTATAAGAAAATCCTGGTTTTCAGTAACACACATATTCCTTCTTTGGGAGGTCAATTTCTTTAATCCCAAATAGTTATCAACACAAGTTTGTACTTTAGGTTCTTGTCTTCCTTTCAGTTTGGACACAGGATATCATATGTTGCTCTTCAATAACCTGACAGTAGGGTAGGAATTATTTTTACTATTTTCTAAGTGAAGAAACTGACTCAATGGCATGATTTACCCAGGGCACATGAATTTATAACCAAGTCTTTCAATACCGCTTTCCCTGCTGCTTCTCCAACATTCCACTCCTTCTTCTTTTTCCCTAGCATTAGAATATACCCAAGTTTGGGTGTTTTTCCATCTCAATTGTTTTTGAAACTTGTTTCTCATCTTTCTGTATTCTGTTGGATTACTTTTTTTTGTTTCTCTTAATTTTAGACATTTGTGTTATCTTTGTCATGGATTTCTTAGAAGACACCCTACACTATTTTTCACTCTGCCTTCTTTAGGACAAGTTCCAGGAGAGATTTTTTTATCCAGTTAGTTTCCTAAGAAGCTCAACCTATACCTAGAGAACCTTTTAGGAAACCCTTTCCCTGCAACTGTGGATCCTGAACTTTGTAGGAAGCTGAATACTCATGGAATGCCAAACTTAAGGGCCTTTGGCATCTTTACCCTTTAGAGTAATTATGCTACTGTCTTTGGACTTTACAGTATACGATCAGGAGTTTGCTTTATGAGAGGCATTAAATCCCCATGTTAGGAGACTGCAAAAAGAAAATACAAACACAGTCATTAAGGGGCCATTTAAGGGTAGTAGATTCTGTGTTGTCCCTAGTGGAGGCTTGGAATTGTATAGTCATGGATCACTATAGCCCATCTGCGGGAATTTTCCAAGTCGGGTAAAAGCCTACAGGATCCCTGAGCCCATCAGATTCAGGATGAGAAAAGGGCAGAATCACAACTTATAGCATGGCTGAGGCAGGAAAAATCAAACCCACTACATCCATTAGAAGGTGTTTGGGGCTGTCCGGAGACAAGGGCTACTTTGTCCTTGTTGGACCCTCCCTGGTGTGGGGTCGCTGTGACCCAGTGGTAGAGTGCAGGGAGTCTGGGGACAAATGTTGTTTATCTGGTGCTGCCACTGATGCCCTCTGTGGCTTAAACCAGTTCAATTGACCCTTCTGTCCAAAACACGCAGACACTCGTGCCTTCTCATCTAGAGAAATACAAGTGTTATTGAATTAATTCCAAAATATTTGTAGGAGCACAAATGTGAGCTAAAGTTTCACACATATTCTTTACTCACTGGCACATTCAAGGGAAAAAGTGACCTGGTGTTTCAAGTACTTTGTGGTCACTAGACACCATAAATGATAACAACAATAATAGCAAGTACTTTTTCAGGCACTAAGTGTGCCAGGCACAGCACTACGCGATGTTCTATATAATTTACTTCCCATACAGCCTGTGAGGTAAAGCAATGTTACTCTCCAATTTTATGGATGAGGAAACTGAGCCTTAGAAAGATCAACAAACTTTCTCAATGTCACTCACTGAAAAGGTAGCAGAATTGGAATGCAAACCTCAGTCAACCGAACTAAAAAAAACTGAAGCTTTTAATCAAAGCACCTTGATTTCCATAAAGACTGAATTTTCAAAATCTGTCCTATTTCACCAGTTGTCCCATAAATGTTGGACTATCCCAGAAATGAACAAAACCTGGCATCCAAACTGCATTTCTCAGACTGTTTCTCACACTGAAAGCAACATAAAAGTCCTCTGTAAGATCACAAGTCCTGGTCCTTGATATAGAAAATGTGGGCACCATGATCTATGCAGAGGAGCAAATTTTAGAGAATTAGAGTGGAAGGCAATGCACTCAAAACCAAAACTATTTTGAGCATCTTGTTATCTTCTGTGATTTGGGAGGCACTAAAGAGCCTTGTAGTACCTGGAGGTCATCCTCATGAATCTCAGTCCTCATGATATTATTGAAGTGTAGAAAGGTAGGTTTCCAGCAAGTTTCAACAGATGGAAATCCAGATAAAAGGAACTCACTCTGCTGATATTAATTATTTAAGCAGTGTTTTCTCGAGGGACTGCCATGGCCTTAAAAAGGGGCTCTATGAGCTGTTCTTTTATATTATGAATATTTGTAATACTATAGCATCTACATTTCAAGTGTGGGCTTTAGTGAAAAACTTTGTTATGCTTTTTTAGCTTTGTTGTTTAGTTTTGTTTGTTGAGCATCAGAAGAGATGGGAGTGATAGGGCCACAGTAGAGAAAAGACTAAAAATTCATGATCCACAGTCTTTTTGCTTCCCAAATATGGACCATGGTTTTGAAGATTTAAGAACCACAGATTTAAGATCATTTTTTAATTCCGATATACAAATATCCTCTTAAAAGATAATTGTACCACTTTAAAGAGTTGTTTCTGTTTTCTTTTCTTTTTTTTTTCTTTTCTTTTTTTTTTTTTTTTTTTGAGATAAAGTCTCACTCTATCACCCAGGCAAGAGGGCAGTGGTGAGATCTGGGCTCACTGCAGCCTCCGCCTCCTGGGTTCAAGCTATTCTCATGCCACAGGCTCCCCAGTAGCTGGGACTACAGGTGTGTGCCACCACACCCAGCTAATTTTTGTATTTTTAGTAGAGACAGGGTTTCACCATGTTGGCCAGGCTGGTCTTGAACTCCTGACCTCAAGTGATCCACCTGCCTTGGTCTCCCACAGTGCTGGGATTATAGGCGTGAGCCACCGTGCCCGACCCCTCTTTAAAGAGTTGTTTCTATCAGATACATTCAACTCATATAATTTGCCCAAACTGAGAGAAGGGCAGAAAAAGAAGGAAAGGCAGTGAAAACTTGAATGCCTCTTTGTAGATATTATTCTAAGGACACTTTCCTTTTGGTTCTAACATCACCATATTTTGTTTAGAGCAGCTCATGGGGCCAAACAATAAAAAAGAAATAACAATTAGAAATGAACTCTTTCAAACTAACATCTTGTTTATTTCTCAGGCTCTTTAGAAGTCAGTGTTAAAAGAATCCATGTAGCATTTCTTATTCATGCTGAGTGAGCTGTTATCAGTTCCCGTATTGATTTCTATCTCCACGCAGCAAGCCTCAAAATGCCACTGCCCCAAGCTGGAATCCCACCAAGCCTATCCCTTATGTTTCCGTTTATTTTCCAAGTCGTCTTTCCTTTTTCTTCAGCCACAAATTCTCCCTGAACCCACTTTCCCCAAAATAACAGCTGCGGATTCAATTTTTCCTTTCCTGTCTCTTTAAGTCAGAAACTTCCTGAGGTTCCTAAGAGCTGCCTGCCTCAGCAGGCACCAGGACTCCCAGCAAGTCTCCATTGCAGTGAGATTTGCAAGTGAATCTCCTTTGAAAATCATCACCAGTTTTGTATCCATCTCTTCTGACTTTGAGGCATCTACACTAACACCGTGGGCTCCAGCCTATCCTATGAACCCGGCCCGAGGATTTCAAAACCAAATCTATTGATATTGGCAGCTCCATCAAAGGAAAATTCTCTAAACCGAACAAAGCATAAAACCAATACAAAATCCATCTAACAAATAAACAAAAGGCAATAACATGATTTCAGACGCCAATGCCTACCTTAAAGGCTGCCCAAAGCTCTTTGCTCCCACATGCATCCGCCTCTCTGGGTCTGTTTCCTGGCTTTCCAATAGCTGTGCTTTCTTAAATTGAGCAACAGTCTCCTCAAGTGTCGGGCTCTGAAAATACACATGCTACACACGCCCATGCAGCCTCTCGGTGCCAGGCAGCCCCTTCGCCTTCCTTCCCGGCCGTGCCAATTCCCTGGCCGCTGACCAGCTCCCACGTGGGATGGAATGGAGAAGGGGAGGGTGTCAACCAAAGTCGGGGGATGGATTCAACTCACCGTGGACTAGGTGGCCACCCATCTGGCATGAAGGGTCCATTTTATCCCTTTTCTAACCTAAAACCGCCTCCACGATGGTCTCTCCAGCCTCACTCAGAGCCCAGAACAGTTGGCAGGCACACCAACCCCTCCTGGGTGTGACCTGCGGGTACTCAGACGTCTCTAAAGTGGCAGCCTCCAGCCGGTGGGGCACAGACTGCCTCTTACCTTCACAGAGCCCCAGTCCTTAGAAGCCCAGCTGGCGTCTCCAAGGAGTCCTGCGTTTTACTTGACATTGGAGGCAACCGGTTGCAGAAACAGGGAACATTTCAAAATGAAACAGAAAGTAACCCGGGGATCCAAACCAGACCCCCGACCTGCCTCGGCCGTCCCCAATCTCTGGGAGTCTTCTGACTCAGCAAGCCTGTACAGCTGTTTCAGCCTGGAGAGGATTCAGAGGAAATGCAGCTTGGAAGTCTGGAACTCACAGCCTGGGCTTTTTTTTTTTTTTTTTTTTGAGTATTTGTTGAGCTTTTTAACATGCAGTTTGTCTCCTTCTGCAGGGAATTACTCAGTGATCCCGTCACCTGACTCAGGGCAGTTCCATTATATAATTCTAACTGCTATTAGATCGCTGATCGGAAAACCACACTTGCCTCCCCTTTCCCCCACCCCCCAGCATCATCCACCCCACCCCGCCCCCTAGGAAGGGAAGAGGGAGGAAGACCTCAAAACGCGACACAATGACAATTAACTTTCCTTGAACCTTCCCTGGAAGGACTGCATTTTTGCAATGCACTTTAGTTCCCTTCGGTTCAATTCTTGAGTAGAGGACCTCCCAAATGCCCATGAGGAGTGAGTGGGAATTTCTCAGGATGGGACGGTAGCAGCTTTCCTGATTTTCTTTTAGGATGGTTCTCTGTAGGTGGGATAAGGCGCTGAATGGATTTTCAAATGATCAAGTGCGTCGTCAGTTGAAAAGCTTCAGGTAGATTTATAAAACATGTGCAAATAAAACCTAAAACCGAGAATCTTCTATTATTTTTTGCCACATTTCCGTGAAATGCCAAAGGGGTGGCTTGGGTTGAGGGGTCTTGAGCCAAAACCCCTGCCCTGACCTCGATCCTCATAAACCCTCTCCAGCCACCTCAAATAAGCATAATGCCCAAGGGACAACATCTTGCTTTGCTAGGCAAACATTTCTGAAAGGGCAAGCTCCCAGTCTCCACTTTCAACCATATTGCAACCCCTCAGGCCACTCTAGATAGACATTTTGAAGCCACGCCTGTCCTAGGTGAAGGTAATAGTAATAATTCCTCAATGCCCCCAGTCCCTGTCTTAGCATCTGTTATCTCTGTCCAGATGATACCCACTAAGGAGCAAGCATGTTCAAACAGAATCGACCCATGAGTGGAACTTAAGTGGCAATCAATGAGGGTAACACCTAAAGCATCACACAATACGACGATCAAGTTAAAAAACACTCCAGCCCATTTGCTTTTTCCATGTCAAAGCGCAGATGAACTATCTGCATAGCTCTCGGCTCCCAATCTTCTCCCAGCCAGCGGAGGCTTGTTGCTGAATACAGGAAAAGAACTATTTATGTTGATGAGAACAAATGCTAATGTTGGTCAGCCTTGTATGGGTTTTTCTAGTCTCACTCCTTTTCTCTCTCCTGGATCTTCCCAGCCCATAATCACCAGAGGAAACTACTTTCTCCCTCCTGCCTTCCTCCACTATTGTAAGTAATGTTAGATACTATTTTCATGTTAAAATATGTGACATTAGACAGATACAGTACCCTAAGAATCACTTTCAAAACACTTTGTAACTATCTATCCACATACCCCCCTGAGGTCAGCATGGGGTAATGACTGTTCTTATGGAGACCCAGAGAAGCCAGTGTCATAGGCGGGAGTTAGAAGACGGGTCTCCTACTCTTGGTGTTCCGCTTTGCAGAGGAAAACCCAGATAGACATGAGAAAAATATTAATGTGTAAACCTGAAAACCTGAATGACAGATTGATGTCTGTTTATGTCTCTCCCTCCAGGTGTAGTAAATACAAGCTATTGTGGCCGTTGCTACAGTAACTTCTTTCTTAATAAGAATAAAGACACATAGGAAGGTGTTAGAAAACATCAGGTGGTGAGACATTCATCAGTAATGGGAGGAGGATGCAGTAATAAAAAATATACCCTTGGCCTGTACATAGTCCTTAAATACTGGCACTGCAAATCTCAAATTTCTTAGACCAGCACTGTTCAATAGAAATATAATGTGGGGCCAGGCATGGTGGCTCAATCCTGTAATCCCAGTGCTTTGGGAGGCCAGGCGAGAATAGGAGTTTGAGACCAGTCTGGGCAACATAGCAAGACCCCGTTGCTATAAAAAATTTTTTTTAAAATTAAAAAATTAGCTGGTTGTGTGCACCTGTAATTCCAGCTACTGGGGAGGTTGAGGTGGGAGGATCCCTTGAGCCCAGGAGGTCAAAGCTACGGTGAGCCACGACTGTACTACTGCACTCCAGCCTGGGCAACAAAGCAAGATGCTATCTCTCTCAAAAAAAAAAAAAAAAAAAAGAGGAAATACAATGTGAGCCATAGATGTAATTTTCAATTTTCTAGTAGTCATATTAAAATTTTTTAAGGGAAATTATTTTTGTAATATATCTTATTTAATCCCATATACCCAAAACATTATTTCAATATGTAATCAATATAAAAATTAATGAAATATTATGTATTCTTTTCATACTGAATATCTGAATATTGGTAAGTGTTTTATACCCTCATCACATCTCAAATAAGACTAGCCACATTTCAAGTGCCCAGTAGCCACATGTGGTTAGTGGTTATCACATTAGATGGCCAAGCCCTGGATTATATATGGCCATTTTGAGGTTAGAATTTATTTTAGGGGAACAAATTTGTCTATCCCTACTTGCACATTTTAGAAAAATAAATTATATTAATTTGGTTCTAGCCCTATGGCATAATTCAAGTGGTAATCTCTTGGGTGGAACAATAAAACATCAAATAAGCCTGGAATTGAAATAGTATTAAAGATTCAACTTCTTTCTTGCCACTAGAGGATCATGAACATTAAAACATCAATCTCAGGTTTGTAAAAAGTTCTTTCCTTGTGTTGCCCCAGTTGCCCAAGCTCAGGCTCCCAAAGTCTTATCTTGACTTGACTCTACTTTCTACACATCCTCTCTCTCTGCCCATTTCCCCTAGCCCTCCTAATAGACCCCTCAATCTTATCAAGTCTACCTGTCACCTTTTCTCAAGTGGCAGGGCCTCAGCCAGTACCCAAACTATCACGAGCACCCCTGCCTGGCCCTCCTGACTCCACTTTCTGACCACTTGAGTTCAGTTTCTACCCTGCCTTCAGTGTGAGCATGTGTCAAAGCAGACATTTAATCATATAGCTTCTCAGCTTAAAACTTTTAATAGCATCCTACTGCCTTTCAAATGGAATCCACACTCCTTGCAGTGATATGCTAGGCAATCATAAAGTGGCCCTGGGAGCATTTCCAGCTCAGCTCTTTGCTGCACAGTCTTTGAATTTACCCTAGTCTACATGCTTAACTGTGTCATGGCTTCTCGGTCTCCCTGCCTTTGTTTAAAGTCTGTTTCGTCTGCCTGGAATGTTCTTCCTTGAAATGCCTATCCCTTACCAAATAGCGAAATCTTTCAAGCCCAGCTCAACTGTTTCCTGTAGTTTTTCCTAATCTTGTAGTCAAAATTAACAGTTTCCTCACCTATGTCATCACGCCGCTTTTATTAGTCAATGTATTATAACTTTTATCACATTCAACTATAATCTTATAATATGCTATACAAGGACCTTTCCAAGAATAGGAATTATGTGTGTCATTTACCTATGAATTCACCTTGGGACATAAGAGTATTTCAATAAATGTCTGAGGAATTACAATACTCTTCCTTTCTACTCCTCCTTCTGACTCTCTAATCCCTTGGTGTATTATCGTTACCACCATCATCATTCTCGTCATTACACAGCAGCCAATATGATCAGCACTTACTAGGTATCAAACACTGTGCTAAGCATTTTACACAGATTTCATTTAATTCTAACCAAAAATCTGTAAGGCAGGGACTTATAATATCCCCAATTTCTAATAGCTGTGGCATCTTGAATACAGTTTCATTCTTTCAGCCAGTGTTTTTAGGTCATTCTTATAAACACCTGTTTAGACAAGTTGATGTGTAGTTGTGTCTCCAAAGTACACAGGGTTACATATTTGTTAACTTATTTGCAAACAGGCTAAGGCATGTATTTTTGTTTTATATTTTTAGTGTCTCTGACTCTTTAAAGCTTCCAAATTTTAGTGGGCTGGGAAAATAGAAAACTAGCTTACTAGCATTTTGTGTAGAATGAGAATATTGTAGCTTTGATTTTATTTTTATGTATTTATTTATTTTTGAGATGGAGTCTGGCTCTGTTGCCCAGGCTGGAGTGCAGTGCCGCGATCTCGGCTCACTGCAATCTTCACCTTCCAGGTTCAAGAGATTCTCCTGCCGCAGCCTCTCAAGTAGCTGGGATTACAGGTGCCAGCCACCAAGCCCGGCTAATTTTTATGTTTTTTGTAGAGACGGGGTTTCACCACATTGGCCAGGCTAGTCTCTGACTCCTGACCTCAGGTGATCCACATGCCTCAGCCTCCCAAAGTGCTGAGATTACAGGCATGAGCCACCACGCCCGGCAAGAATATTGTAGCTTTGAGTAAGGGCACAAGGGGCACACTGCCATGTGGATGTCACAGGACCTGACATTCAGCCTTTTTCTCAGAGTCATTTTTGGCACTATTTTTGGCTCTCTAGTAGTTTCTACCATAATTCAGTTTATTGGTGCTTTAAAAAATGGACAGACCAACCATCCAATGCTGGCAAGGACAGGAAGGAACCCTCATTTATTGCTGGTGGGGACTCAAAATGGTACAGACACTTTGGAAGACAATTTGGAAATTTCTTACAAAACTAAACATATTATCATATGATCCAGACATCCTGTTCCTTGGTATCTACACAAAGGAGTTGAAAACTTCATGTCCACACAAAAATCTGCACAAGGATAGCGGCTTTATGCATAATTGCCAAAAGTTGGAAGCAATCAAGATGTCCTTCAGGAGGCGTATGCATAAATAAACTGGTACATCTGGACAATAGAGTATTATTTAGCATTGAAAGCAAATGAGCTCTCAAGCCGTGAAAAGACATGAAGGAAATCTTAATGCCTCCATGGAAAAGAGCCAGCCTGGAAAGGCCACACACTGTTTGAGTCTGACTACATGATATTCTGGAAAAGGTAAACACTATGGAGACAATGAAAAGATCGGGGTTGGGGGAGGGAGTGATGAATGAGTGGAGCACAGAGGATTTTTAGGGCAGGGAAACTACTCTGCTCAGATGATACTACAGTGGTGAGAACATGTCATTAAACATTTATCCAAACCCACAGAATGTTCAGCACCAAGAGTGAACCCTAATGCAGGCTGTGGACTCTGGGTGATGATGATGTAGGTTCATCAATTGTAACCAAGGGATCACTCTGCTGGGGGCTATCCACAGGGAGGCTGTGCACTCGTAGGGTAGGAGGTATATGAGAAATCTCTGTTCCTTCTTCTCAACTTTGCTGTGAACCTAAAACTGCTCTAAAGCACATGCCTGTTTTTTTAAAATATGAAGGGACCAGAGAACGTCTTGCTCACGGGTGCCCAGGGCTGTGCTCACTGGCTCGAGTGCAATGCACCAATTGTTTTTCACTGGGTTGTCAGTTACTCGAGTATTCATTGCTTTCTGCGTTTTGTTTCCATAATGCCACTACATAAACAGCAGTGCATGTACTAAAGGTTTAACAAACTCTTGTTGAAATGAAATGAATAGAAAATACACCGGGTGCTTCACATAATAAATACGTATTTTCACCTACTTAAACAGCATCATAGCCTCAATGTCAACAGAAAACTATTACCAAAGGGGTTTCTGGAGGCTCTGGAGCCTGGGATAGCCTCAGACTTGCACAGGCCATGGTGCTAGGAGGCCAGGCTCAGGGCTAAAGGAGAAGCTGATTTCTGAAAAAGCCTAACTCCCTCAGGGACTTGATCCAGGAAGAGGCTTTTTGCTCTGTGTGCTCCAAGGGTCAGCCCTTGGCCATCACTGCCTGGCTTTACAACACATTGCACAGGGCAGAGCTGTCTCTGCTGGGCAAAGTACTTTACCCTCTGAGAGCCTCAGTTTCCTCATCTGTAAAAAGGGAATGAGGATATTGCAGATTATAACTCCCCCCTTTTCTTTTATTATCTTAAAAATGAGTTTATTTTGTCTCCTTGCTATCCCTGGCTGACTAACTAAGGGTCTTTGTATGGAGATCTTTTTGCCAAGGCCATATTAAGCTCACCACGTTGCTAAACTTAGACTAGCCTGTTTCTGCTCTCCCTTGGAAGGTCTGCAATACGATAAACAAGAAAGGTATGAGGTCAAAGGATTCTTGTTCTGAGCAAAGCGGACAGTTTCACATAGAGCTTCCCAGAATGAAGGCAGGGCCTGACAGGAATGAGATCAGAGGCCTCCAGCATAATCTATAACAGAGCAGTTATTACCTTCCTCCCTGCCAAGTCAATGCCACTGCCAATCTCGGAAGCCATTTTTCAAATTGCTTTTTGGCCAGCTCAGCACAAAATCTATATGACAGCTTTACTTAGGGAGAGCAACAGAAAAAGGCAGTTTCCTGCAGGATCAGGCCCTTTTGTTGGTCCGTCTAATTCTCTCCAAGGCACCATGTGGAATTTGTGTCATGACTTGTGCCCAAATAGGACCAAGACCCCGGAAAGATACAAGAACTCAGAGGCCTAGGTAATGGCGCAAATGAATGAGGTGTTACAAGGTAGCAACTGCAGTAGGAAGAGGCCTGGGATGGAATTCTAGTTCTGCCACTTGCTCACTGGGGCCAGGTGAGTTAGCCTCTGTTTCGTAAACTGGGGGGAAGTTCTAAGGTGATGTTTGTAAAGCACCTGTCAGGGGCCTAGGGCAGAGCTGGAGCTGAATGATCCTAGCCAGGTTGGTTTCTTAGCCTCCTTTTTCTCATGTATAAAACGGAGAAGGACAACAATGCCCCTTTTGTACAGTTATTTGGGGGAAATTAAATGAGCTCTCCAGCAAATGGTGAGTACCACATGTGTGTGCCTCTCCTCCTCCCTTCTCCCGGAAAACCTCTAAGTTGCAGATTGCATTTTCCAAAGATGAACACAATCATATCTCCAATCCTATGTGGTCTTCTAGAATCCTACCACTCCACCATCAAGTGGTGGAATCTAATTCCTCTCTCTCTGAATCTGAGTAGGCTGGGAACTTGCTTACACACAGTATGGTAGAAGTAATTCTGTGGGACTGCAGAGATGCCATCATAAAAGGCAATGTAGCTTCTCTCCAATTAGTTGGGATCCTTGCTTTTGAAGCCTTCAGATGACAGGTAAGCAGTTAACTGCTTTGAGGCCGCCATGCTATGAGGAAGCCCAACTTAGCCTGCATGGAGGGACCAGAGAGTTCCCAGATGCTCCAGCCCCACCCTTCAACAGTTGCTGCCTGAACTGCAACCTCATGAGAGACTGAAACAAGAACCACTCAGGTGAGTCCTCCCAAATCCTGGCTCACAGAAAGATGAGAAATTATCAAAATGATTATTGTTTTAAACAGCTAAATGCTGGGGTGATTTGTTATGCAGTGAAAGAGACTTGGGACACTCCAGTAGCTACTTAATAAAAATCCTAAGCAGCCCAGGATTGGAGCATTAGGTGTGAGACGGCAGGGGTGTATATAAGGCTTGGCCTCTTAGTCATTCTATCAGCCGTGGGGATGAGAAACTCCATTTTCAAGTAGTAATCTAATCCTTCTCTTCCTCAGAGCACTGTGTAATTGTGTGTGTGTAGTGGTATGAGAAAATCCCACCATTGATCCAGATTGATTCGTGATTTTTTTTCAAACCACAGAAGCTGTTTACTTTTATACTAAATCTTAAAGTTACCAAACCATTTTTGATTTAAAAGGACGTTAATACTTAACAGTTTTCAAAGTGTTTTATATCAGGGTTTATATATTCTTTAAATTTATTTTAAATAAACCACTATAGCACTATATTCAGACCCCCTTCCTGGTTGGAATATCCTCTCCAACTCCCATGCCTTTTTGGCCAATGTATGTCTATACCACAGTTGCCTCCAGAGACTCACCTCCTCCAGGAAGCTCCCCAAACAAACACAGTGGATTTGGGTCATTTACTTAGTCTTCCCTCCCAATGAGCACTTATGCTAAGAGAGTGGTGTCTGTGCTGGAAGATGTTGCCCTTGAGTTACTATTTACTGGGCTTTCCTAGGTGTTTCATTGACATAGGTTGTATCTCCACTGTGGTGAAAATTTCTGGAGAATGTGGACCATTTTTCTTTTTTTTCCTTTTCTTTCTTTCTTTTTTTTTTTTTTTTTTGAGATGACGTTTCGCTCTTGTTGCCCAGGCTGCAGTGCAATGGCATGATCTGGGTCACCACAATCTCCGCCTCCTGGGTTCAAGTGATTCTCCTGCCTCAGTCTCCCAAGTAGCTGGGATTACAGGCATGCACTGCTACACCAGGCTAATTTTGTATTTTTAGTAGATATGGGTTTTCTCCATGTTGGTCAGACTGGCTTCTCACTCCTGACTTCAGGTGATCTGCCCGCCTCGGCCTCCAAAAGTGCTGGGATTACAGGCGTGAGCCATTGCGCCTGGCCCATTTTTCTATTTCTTTGTACCCCAATGTCACAAGGATTCCTTGATCTGACCTTCAAGCATGTCTGTTATAAAAATTTATTTTGAAGTGCTCTTATGACTTTCCACACAAACAAAGAAAAACAGCTATAAATGCTTGGAAGTAAAATTTAATATATCACTAAATTGTCAAATATTCAAATACTTCAGAATGTGAGAGCAACTTTGAGTAAGTGCATGTGAATGAAATGTAGATGATGAACACATAAAAAAACCTAATTGAAAGATAAATATGGCCTCAATTACCTCTTCCTAGAGGAAAATAACATGGGGTTCAAAGCTTAGGTACCGGAATCGGGCAGGGTCAGGGTTTAAATCTTGACCATTATTACTTTAACTGTGTGACCTTTGACGAGTTCACAAGTCTTGAAGGGGGATAAAAATAAAGCCTATATCATAGGATTATTGTCAAGATAAATGTGGTTTGTGTTAAATACTTAGCATCATAACTGGCACAGAGAAGGCATACATCTTATAGTTTACTGTTATCATCTGCATCACCACCATGACCACCACCAACAACCCTATCCTAGTCACCATGATGGGTTTTGCTCTTAAGGCCTTAGAGCTGGCTGGGATATACCTCTTTCTTTATTTAATCACCTTTCCTTCCACTGAGACATTTTCCCTTCAACCCAACTATATTTCTCAGCTTTTATGTTAATGTCATGATCATGATTGTTTCAAACAATCCAAATAATCTCAGGGGCTCTGTACAGCTTACCAACACCCAGCCATGACTTGACACTAGGTGTTTTCAACTGTCTCAGTCAGCATCACCTACTGGCCAGATTACCCTAGAACAGGAAGTCTGTTTTGACTAATGATGCAGAACCATCCAGCTCCTAAGTCTGTTGCCAATCAGCTTGGCCTTTCCTTTAGGGATATGGAAAGGTTCATGGCGCAACTACAATGAGCCAACAGAGGAGAACATTAGGGTTGAAAAAGATAAAGTCTATTGGAAATAACATTATAGATTACTTGTTCATTCACTTATTCATTTATATATTAATTCGTCCATTCAACAAATAGTTATTAACAGCCTGCTATGGATCTGTAGGATATACAAATGTGAAGAAAGCAGAAGTGATTTCTGCCTCATAAAGTTTTCAGACTGGTGGAAAATAACTGCTTTGTCATCAAATGACCCTGGGTTTGAATCTGACTCTGTCACTTACTACGTATTTAAATTGTTTAGACCTTTCTGAGCCTCACTTTTCCTTAGGGTGATTGTGAGGATTAAATAATTCACGGAAGTCTACTGCTTACCACAGCCCCTGGCAAGATCTACCATTTCTTTCCCCAAAGGTCATATAATTTATAGCCACTAGAGTCAGGATGCAAACCCAGGAGCGTCTGGCTCCCACATTTATGCTTTCAAAGAAATGTTCTAAATATTTCCTTAAAGTCTCACTACTTTTGATTTAGTTTTTTCCTCCCAAGTCACTAATTCATCATCCATTCAAAAATAAGAATGTTGTTTTTTCAGATGTTTTTCCCATGTCTTCTTTATTTCTCATTGAACCCTCTGCAGTAAACCACTTCCCTCTACATTAACTGATGTGAAAATCATGAGGCAACTGTTGTCATCACAGAAAAAAAAAAAAAAAGCAGAATAGTTATGTTTCTTCAGGTTATACTTGGGAAGCCAGATAAAGTGCTGGGTTATGCAGACCATCCTGTCTCAACAGTGCAGTAGAAAGAGGCATAGTAAGCATCTAGCAGAAAGAACTTGGCTTGCCACGTGGTAATTTATGGGTATTCCTTTTTTTAATCTAGAAGTTGGAATGTTACAAAATTATATTAATGATCTAGGGGACCTCCACTAAAAATCCAGCACCATCGGCCGGGCATACCTCACGCCTGTAATCCCAGCACTTTCGGAGGCCGAGGCGGGTGGATCACGACATCAGGAGTTTGAGACCAGGCTGACCAACATGGTGAAACCCCATCTCTACTAAAAATACAAAAATTAGTCAGCCGTGGTGGTGGGTGCCTTTAATCCCATCTACTTAGGAGGCTGAGGCAGGAGAATTGCTTGGACCGGGGAGGTGGAGGTTGCAGTGAGCCGAGATTGTGCCACTGCACTCCAGCCTGAGCGACAGAGCAAGACTCCATCTCAAAAAAAAAAAAAAAAAAAAAAAAATCCAGCACCATCATTGCACTGTATGTGTAATGCTTCTTTTGACTCTGAGCCCTCTACCATATTGGACACCACACTGCAATTCTTTTCTCTCTTTCTGCAATACCACTTACTCTAAGCTACTTTTTCATTTGTTTGCTTCAACTGTACTTCTTATTTCTTTGCTTTTTCTCCATTTATCTGCTTCTTAAATGTTGAGTTCTCTCTCAAGCCATTTTTTGGCCTTACTTTTCCCTGGATGATCTCACTTCTGATCTTTTAATCTATTTTTCTAGAGCCTTCTCTTCTACACCACTTGCAATTTTCCCAATTCACATCCTTACCCTCTCTTACCAGGTCTTCTGCAATAATCTAACTGGTTTCCCATTTGCAAATCGCTCATATCTCGGAGCTTTGTTTTTCACACCGCCACCAGAATTGGCTTCCTAAAACCAGGTTAGTACATGACACCCTTTCTCAAAGGTTAATATCACTCCCTTGACAGCATAATGTTCAAGTTGTTTAGCATGGCACCCAACTTCCTTCACTACATTCCTGCTCATTTTTCACTCCATCCCTCCCTGATGCCACATTTTCTGCTATTATAGTCTACTTAGTATTCTACACACTTTTCATCTTTCCCTACCCACCTTCTCACTGGACAAGGCATTTCTTTATTCTTTATCTTTTGTGGCATTTCCCAATATATGCTCCTCAGAATACTGGTCTTGTGAGATGTCTACTGAAGAAAAGAAATCTGGTAATCTGGTGTAATACTGTATACTAGATCCACTTCCACCCCCGCCTTGGAGGTTTCATGAACTTTAGCATTTATTTATTTATTTATTTATTTATTTATTTATTTTTGAGACAGAGTCTTGCTCTGTTACCCAGGCTGGAGTGCGGTGGCACGATCTTGGCCACTGCAACCTCCACCTCCTGGGTTCAAGCAGTTCTCCTGCCTCAACCTCCTGAGTAGCTGGGACTCCAGGCACCCACCACTACGCCTGGGTAATTTTTGTATTTTTAGTAAAGTTGGGGTTTTGTCATGTTGGCTCGGCTGGTCTCGAACTCCTGACCTCAGGTGATCTGCCTGCCTCCGCCTCCCAAAATGCTGGGATTACAGTCATGAGCCACTGTACCCAGCTGAACTTCAGCATTTAAAATGCTCTGAGAAGTCCTGCAGCAGGTAAATCAGGTTGGCTTTGCTACCCAGTGTTTCCTAAACACCAGATTCCTCTTTTTCTAGAAACCCGTAAGAATTAGCATTTAATGACCGTACACTGGGAATCCCTGATTTATTCAAATCTTCTTCACTCATTCACATTTTATTTCATCTGTCCTTATTCATGGACTTGGAAAATATTTATTTAGCACCATGCCAGGCACTGGAGAATGTACTGAGAAAATATTCTCGACAGCAAGATGAACATAATTCCTGCTTTCATGAAACTTACAGTTTTGACTGAACAGTGGATAAGTAAACATGCAATAACCACAAAATGCAGTAAGAGCTATCATAGGGGAAACAGAGACAGTTGTGGCAGCGCATAGCAGAAAGACAATGAATCTGGGGGAGTGATTAGGGAGGGCTTTCTGGAGGAAGTGGTTTTATATGGGGACCTAAAAGAGAAGTAGGAGTTAGTCAGATGGGAATAAAGGAGGCAAAAGGGGAAGAATGTAGTCAGGGGCAACTGCTCGTATGAAGCTGCTAAAACCAGAGAGAGCATGGCATGTCTGAGGGAGTAAAAGAAATCTTAACTCTCATGCCTGTAATCCCAGCACTTTGGGAGGCCGAGACGGGCGGATCATGAGGTCAGGAGATCGAGACCATCCTGGCTAACACGGTGAAACCCCGTCTCTACTAAAAATACAAAAAATTAGCCAGGCGTGGTGGCGGGTGTCTGTAGTCCCAGCTACTCGGGAGGCTGAAGCAGGAGAATGGCGTGAACCCGGGAGGCGGAGCTCGCAGTGAGCCGAGATCGCGCCACTGCATTCCAGCCTGGGCGATAGAGCCAGACTCCGTCTCAAAAAAAAAAAAATAAATAAAAATAAATAAATAAATAAATAAATAATTCAAAAGGTGACGACGTCTTCACCGCTCCTTTCATCCCCATTCACGGGAACTTTCTCTGTCTTCTCTACGTTACCTAGCTTGCAAAGTGGGTGTTCAGAACACGCTTGGGCATTACAGTAATCTGATCAAACAATTATTTTAGGGGGACAGATATGTTCTTTTGAAGCACAGAGCTACACACATACCCACTTCCCAACTCTTTCAGTAAAGTCAGAATAAGGAAGTTTATTTTTTAAAAGGTTTACTGTTAAAGGGCACTTATAGATGTTGTATTAATTTTGTTTCTAATTTATTTTTTAAATGAAAAGATTAGCAGAGGTATGTAATTGTGGATGGTGAGGGATTTTCTTAATCAACCCCATTGTTATTTTATCCTCCTTAGTATGTTTTGCATTTTTAGGCAGCTTGCTTTTGTCAACTAGCAAACAGACAGGCCAAATTGTAATTGGGCAGATTGAACTAGAAGCTTAGAATTAAGCATACTTAACAGCCCAGGAGTTGGACTCAGCGTCTCTCTCAGTAGCCACCATACTGAGATGGCATGCCCTCGATCATTGCCTTAATTCTCAGACACACTGTGCCTCCTGCCTTTCCTTCCATGGCTGCTGTCTGGTAATAAAAGAGTCATCCCTTTTGTTATCAGTAGAACAGAGGGTAATGTCTCTTAATTAACAAAAGGAAGTGGTGCAATGTAGTAAGAACACTGCAATTGTTTCCAATTAATCCCACATGCAGTTTGGCAAAGTTAATAATCCATAAAATGACCTGAGACCTAAATATGCAGAAGAGTCATCTTTTGTCCATTATTTTTCTATTGTTCCAGCAAAAACAAGAAAATTCCAAGACTAGATGCAAGGCCTACAGATTTAGAATATCATAAATTCTTAACTATTATCTCAAATATAAAATAAATTTACATGTGCCATTCAGAGCTTATGAATTTCTAAATGTTTTACAACCTTTATAAATCATTACATGTTGACAGGTGTCAATTCAACCACAGTGAAGCAATTACTTACTTGGATATACCATTTGTCACCAAAGCAACGGCACCTTCCCATTCATATAAAAGCAAGAAGGACACGTGCATTTTAATTTCATCATCAGTGTATTTCTAAATTATTTGAGGATAGAGAATGTGTCTTACACATCTATGAACCCCTAAAAATGCCACATGGATCATACTATCCCAGGTCCATAACAACCTTTTCTTTCCATTGTGGCAGAATACACATATGTAAAATTCACTATTGTAACCATTTTAAGGTGTAGAATTCAGTGCCATTTAGTATATTCAAAGTGTTGTGCAGCCATCGACACTACGTAGTGCTATAATATTTTCATCAACCCAAAAGGAAACCCTGTAGGCAAGAAACAATCATACCTCATTCTCCCATTTTCCTTAGCCCCCTGGTAAAACCAACCTGCCTCCTGTCTCTGTGAATTTGCCTATTCTGGACATTTCATGTAAATGGAATCAGACATATGTGGCTTCTTTCTCTTGGCATAGTATTTTCAAGGTTCATCCATAAAGTACACATGTCAGTACTTTCTTTCTTTCTATGGCTGAATAATATTTCATTATATGGATATGCCACATATTGTTTGTCCACACTTTGTTCATTGATGAACATTTGTGGGTGTTTCTACCTTTTGGCTATTGTGAGTAACGCTGCTATGAACATTCCTGTACAAGTTTTTGTTTGAACATCTGTTTCTAATTCTTTAGGATATCTGTCTAGGAGTGGAATTGCTGGGTCATATGGTAATTCTATGTTTAACCTATTGAGGAATGAATAATACTTTTCTATTGAATATTACCAGGATTCTGCAAAGATTGAATGTGGTTGGTAGGGCAGATCTATACCTGCTGAAATGCCTGGGTGAAAGAGCTATGGAGCTTTGGGATATGTGTGCTTGTATCAGCATCGGTCAGGAAGATTGACTTGTATGATTCATTTCTCCACTAGCTCATAAGCTACTTTCTTCAGTGGAACTGCATTGTCAAACACTAGGGCATTGGAGTTGGACTGTATGAATTCCAATCCCAGGCTTGTCATGTATCATTGTGACCTTATTTACATTTATTTATTTGAGACAGGATCTCGTTCTGTCGCCCAGGCTGGAGTGCAGTGGTATGATCTCGGCTCACTGAACCTGCCGCCTCCTGGGTTCAAGCGATTCTCCTGTCTCGGCCTCCCAAGTGACTGGGATTACAGGTGTAAACCACTGCACCTGGCCACTGTGTGACTTTAAACTAGTTGTTTGACTCCTAAGACTTAGTTTCATCACGTGTAAAAGAAAGAACTAGCTCTAACTACAACATGAAGTTGTGGTTACTTTAAACAGGGCAGGGTATTTCAAAAGTGTAGTATATCACTTGGCAATAAATACTCAAAAAGTATTAGCTTGTATTGTGTTTCTACTACTTGATATCCCTGTGGTGTTTAAGTAGCACAGTGCTAGGCACACTAAAAGGCACATAATCATATGGAAATAATGACATATTTAATGGGAAATGACTCAGATCATTTTGAGGATTATCAATTTTTTCTCTTTTTTCCTTCTTTTTTTGTTGTTGCATGTCTGTTGGAATATTCTGTTTCCTCAAGGGTGGGCAAAAGATGGGATGTGGCATTGGAAACTCAATGTCAATGAATGTAGGCAGAGATTTTCTTATGGGTACTTTTCCTTTAATCCCACTCTGGATGAGGTCAGTTGCTGGCAGAATGGGGGAATTGATGAGCCATTTATCTCCTGCTCAAAGTGTTTCATACCTTGGGGAGGAGCTTCTCCAAAAGGAAATATCAAAGAACTCTCTGTCTGTATTAGAAAATGCATTTTAGTTAATTCAGGTCCACTCATGATGTTTTGATTGCAAGCCCCATATAATGACCTTTGAGTTCACTTTACATATTTTTCTATGCCAGTGCAAGCCTTCAGCGTTACAAACATCAGGTTGCATATACTTTTGCTTGTATGCTTGCTTCTGGCTGAGAATCTGCCCTGGGCTCTGACTATGCTGTATCCCTGACTCATGCTGCTTCGAGGCTCGCCTGTCCTGACGTACACCCATAATTCACAACTCTGCAGCTTCCCAGAACCCCAATGCTACACTTCAAGGACGTTTGGCTCCTACTTACTGAAGGTAGGAGCAGATTCAAGTGGAGAGGCAGGAAGTGGCGAGTGAGAGGTAGTGACATCCGGTCACGAACTCTCCCTGCTGAGGAAAGGTCTTAGAGCAATGTGCTGAGTGATGAGGCCCCTCCACCTCTTCTTTACTTACAATCAGCCTGGTACTACTGTGGTTTTCTGCTTGCTTCTCTTCACAGTTATGACTTGTAAGAAAGACCCTTCATCATTTTACAGAGGTGATTTATGCCATAACAAATGGCCATAAAGAGTGCCACAACTGCAGTGGGCCAAGCACCAGATGTGACACAGAATATGTGATGTAGGTTAAATATCAAGTACCTGTCAGTAATTTGCTACGACTCTGAGGATACTTCTTAAAGAGGACTTTACTGCTGGTCTGGTTTAGCCTTTCACCAGCTGAAGAAAGTTTACCCAAACGTATTGGGACTCAAGGGTTTTCTGTAGGTGAACTACAAAGGTGAGTGGAGTGCCCTTGACCCTGAGCCTCACTGGTAGGTAGAAAAGGATTGCTCATATGAGATTGATGCCATAAAAAGCCCAGGAAACATAACGGCCAAGTGAAAATCATATGCTTACTCTGCAAGCACCTCTTTAAGGCCAAGCCCCCAGGCTCTCCTTCCAATAATATTGTAATTACTAAGGACAATCTATACAGACACCTTGAAGCCATTGCTACATGGGGTGACAGTAGTAAGAATCATTTCTGTCTGTCCCGATTTTTCTGTCTTAGCATCCGTCATGAACAGATAGTAAGCGTCTCTGTCCAAATGATACATATTAAGGGACAAGTGTGTTCAAACATTAAAATAGTCCCACTAATGGGAGGCTGAGAAACGTAGATGGCACAGATGAGCAGCACAGCACTCAGAGAGTCATTAAACGTGAAGATCAACATAAAAATCTCCAACCTGCTTGCTTTACCCATGTCAAAGCCAGGATGAGATGTATGTAGGACATGACACACAGAGGCGAGAATGTATATTTCCATCACTTCTGAGCAACTTCCTAGCAAAAAGTTCCATGAGGACTTCCACCTCCTTAAAGTCAAGGCTTTTCATCTATTACGAATTCTCAACTGACTTCTGGGGCAAACATCATAAAGCAATTTTATCTCCACTGAATATTTCACCATTCTAAATAGAAACTCTTCCAGCCTCTTACCCTGTTGCTGAATTTGCCCTAAAGAAAAGTAACCCTAAACCAACATATGCAGGCTCTCATGAGTTAAAACACAAACCCCTTACAACCATGTTATATATATGAAATTCATCTTTTAACACAAAAAGCTGAAAAGCAGTTTTAAGAAGACTTCACAATGCCATCCCACACCATGAGTTATTTAATTGCAATAGGAATACATGTACCAAAAATCATTCCCTAATTAGCTTAAACCTAAAACAGCAGTTGTTAAATATGTGATTGGTGCTGTTGCAAGAGGGTGTGCTTTTGCCATTGTGTCGCAGAGGCTGTGATGGTGTTCAGGTTTTATTTTTAAAGTTTGGGTAATTATATCTTAAACTAACAGCAGGGGGGAAATGAATCATGTATTTGTCTCTCTTATTACAGCTTCTCTCCCCAAAAGTGTTTCCTTTCTTGCCGCATTTACCTAGCTGGCAAGGTGTTACTCTGGGTCCTGAGGACAGAAGCATCTGGGATTTGATCACAAATTGTATAGTAAACATTCTGAGACAGGTGACTGCCACCCAAATTCATTATAAAGTGGAAAAAATGCACTCAATTAATTCAGTACATTTGCTGGCTATAAAACTTGAACAATCAACAAGAAACAGTTTGGCATTGGAGGTAAAGTTCTGGACTGGATGTCAGAAAACCTGGATTTGAGCCCACCTCTGCCAGTGACTAGTGGGGCACCTCTGGCCCCCCCTAGCTCCTGGGGTCTCGGTTCTCTTTTATGCTCACTTAGGTTGCTTGCAGCTCTGAGATGTAGAATTCCACATCAATAAAGAAGAGTGGAATGGTGTGAATGTCATGAATATACAGCTACTTGTATAATCTACTGCTTTTCTCCAATTAGTATGAGCTATGCGTCAGCCTTAGACTTGGCTGGGATTTTGACTGATGAGGAAAGAGTTCTAGATACGAGAAGTGACTGGTTAACAGTCACACTCTTGTTAAATGTGGGAGACAGAGTACAAACCAGGGATTTCTATGTTAGGTGGGCTCAAATCCAGGTTTTCTGACATCCAGTCCAGAACTTTTCCTCCTATGCCAAACTGCTTCTTGTTGATTGTTCAAGTTTTATATCAAGCAAATGTACTGAATTAACTGATGCTAAGGCACCACCTACCTAAGGCATCAGTTACCTAAGGCAATCTCTCCTTCGATTATGGAGAGACCAAGTGACATCTAAATTAAAGGCTTTACCATTGTATTTTCCAATGGTTACTCATTATTCTTAGACTAGGGGACAGCATCTGGAATCCAGCAGTCTCAGTTCTGGTTCAGCATGATTTTGCCACACAATACAGCATCTATATGTCCTAGGTTTATCTTTGTTCAGAAAAGCTGTATTATGTAATAATTAAGAGTATGGGCTTGATACCAAGATTTGTATGTGACTGTTCATAGCAGCTTAATTTGTAATAGTCAAAAACTGGAAACTTCCCCGCTGTTCATTAACAGGTAAATGGACAAATTGTGGTATATCCATACAATGAAACACTACTCAGTGATTAAAAACGCATGAACTGTTGAGATCTGCAACAACGTGAATAAATCAGAAAATAATTAGGCCAAGTGAAAGAAGCCAAACAAAAAAAAAAGTTCATCCTTTAGTGTTCCGTTTACA